>NC_000002.12:25388543-25540058 GCF_000001405.40 Homo sapiens
AAGGAAGGGGGCGTGCAGGGCAGAGAGAGAGAACATCCTAAGAACAAGACCAAGAATGGGAGGGAAAGAAGAGGCTGGCACAGAGTGGTGGAGACAGAGTGAGCTGCGTGACTGGGCCAGGGCTCTAGAAGGGCTTGGCTTGCAGGGCAGGAAGTAACATGCAAACAGCTTTCATTTTGTTTGCAAACACATTCATGTACATGTTCTCATTTGGACCCCTCCCCCCGCTGCTGCCGGCAACCTGTGAGTGGAAAGGACATACGTGTGTGTGTGTGTGTGTGTGTGTGTATGTATATATTTATATACGTATATATCTTTTTTGGAGACAGAGTCTTGCTTTGTTGCCCAGGTGGAGTGCAGTGGCACGATCTCAGCTCACTGTAACCTCCGCCTCCCAGGTTCAAGAGATTCTCCTGCTTCAGCCTCCCGAGTAGCTGGGACTACAGGTGTGCGCCACCACGCTGGGCTAATTTTTTGTATTTTTAGTAGATACGGGGTTTCAACACGTTGTCCAGGTTGGTCTTTAACTCCTGAGCTCATGCAATCTGCTCGCCTTCGCCTCCCAAAGTGCTAGGATTACAGGTGTGAGCCACCATACCAAGCCAGGGTATATATTTTTATGTCCATTTTATAGAAGAAGAAGAATGGAAAGAGACGTTGTGTCAGGCCACACAGCTTGCCAGTGGGAGGCATGGGAACAACCCCTTGACTCCAAGGGTGGCAGTGTGCACTCTGCAGGTTGTGACCCCACTTCCTGCAGGGCATGCTCTGAGCATGTGCGGAGCTCGGCTGCAGGCTGCAAGCGGGGCCATGGGGCCAGTCATGCCACATGCACTGCACATGTACAGCAAGGCTGTCCGGGGCCACCCCGCGGGGACGAGGTGAGAAAGGACACATGGTAAACAGAAACCAAGCTTTCCTTGGGAGGCCCTGGTATAGTTGTGGAGAAAGTTTGGAGCAATGGGATAAAATAAATAAAAGGAGAAAACTAATCAAGGGCCGCTCACTGAGATGTGGGCTCTGTAGCTCTTCAGCACAACGGGAACTGAGTGTGGAAGGTGGACTAGGGTTTTCTGTGGAAGCAAAACTGGAAAAAATAGAAGCCAAAGTGTGAGAGTGAATTCAAATGAAGACAGTTATCCTTCTTCTAGCTTTCTCAGCTAGAAACCCCATATACAAACAGAATTGGCCCTGAACAGGTGGACAGGCTGGACGCACGACACCCCACCGCAGTGCTTCAACCGTGTGGCCACCAAACTCAACAGAAATGGATTGTTTTCTGTGGTTCTTACTTTGAATCATTTGTGTGTGTGTGTGTGTGTGTGTGTGTGTGTGTGTGTATGTGTATTTTGAGAAGTTAAAAAAAATACAGAAAACTAAAAAGTACAACATAATTAACCACCCCAAATTGGTAACTTCATATTGTGTCAAATGTATTTCAACCTAAAAATATTGCAGAAAAATTTGCAATATTTTTGTCCACCAGTTCTTTCCTGTTCCAGTTCTTTCCTCTCCTCCCTTCAGAGGCAACCCCTATCAAAATTCTGCTGTGAAACTTTTAACCTATATGTGCATGTATAGCTATGAATAATAGATGGTATTTCACGCTTTTAAATTTTGCATGAATGGTATTGTACTGCTCATATCACTTTGCAATTTGCTTTAATCACTTAGCATGCTTTCTGAGATCTTTCCATGATACAAATAAATATGAACTAAATCAAAATGGATCATAGTAACTATAAGAGCTAAAACTAAAATGGATCATAGTAACTATAAGGGCTAAAACTATAAAATTTCTCTAAGAAAACACCCAAACCATGATATGTAAAAACAAAACCAAACAGATAAACTGGCTTTCATTGAAATTTTAAACTTTTTCTTTTCTTTTTCTTTTCGTCTTCTCTTTTTTTTTTTTGAGATGGAGTTTCACTCTTTCACCCAGGCTGGAGTGAAGTGGTGCGATTTTGGCTCAGTGCAACCTCCGTCCCCTGGGTTCAACCAATTCTCCTGCCTCAGCCTCCAAAGTAGATGGGATTACAGGTGCGTGTGTGCCACCATGCCTGGCTTTTCTTATATTTTTAGTAGAGATGGGGTTTCGCCATCTTGGCCAGGCTGGCTTCAAACTCCTGACCTCAGGTGATCCACCCGCCTCGGCCTCCCAAAGTGCTAGGATTACAGGTGTGAGCCACTGAGCCCGACCAAACTTCTGCTTTTCAAAAGATATCATTAAAAAACATATGAACAAATCAATTCAGAATTAGTCAATAACTTAAACATAGGAGCTGAAATTATAACATTCTTAGAGAAAACATAGGGGGAAGGCTTTATAATCTTGGATTAGGTAATGACTTTTTTTTTTTTTTTTTTTGAGACGGAGTCTTGCTCTGTTGCCCAGGCTGGAGTGCAGTGGTGCAATCTCGGCTCACCACAAGCTCCGCCTCCCGGGTTCACACCATTCTCCTGCCTCAGCCTCTTGACTAGCTGGGACTACAGGTGCCCGTCACCACTCCCGGCTAATTTTTTGTATTTTTCGTAGAGACAGGGTTTCACCATGTTAGCCAGGATGGTCTCGATCTCCTGACCTCGTGATCCACCTGCCTCGGCCTCCCAAAGTGCTGGGATTACAGGTGTGAGCCACCGCGCCTGGCCTAGGCAATGACTTTTTAGATATGACATCAAAAGCCCAAGCTATGAAAGAAAAACTAGATACATTGAATATTATCAAAAGTAAAACTTTTGTGCTTTGAAGAATACCATCAAGAAAGTGAAAGTCAACCCCCAGAAAGGGAGAAAATGTTTGCAAACTATATATGATACATGATCTATATATAAAATATATAAAGAACTCTTACAACTCAATAATAAAAGGACAAATAATATTTTAAAATGGGCAAAGGATCTGAATAGACATTCCTCCAAAGATATATAAATATCCAGTAAGTACATGGAAAGATGCTCAGCATTATTAGGGAAATGCAAATCAAAACTACAATGAGACATCACCGCACACCCACAAGGATGACTATAATAAAAAAGACAGGTAATAACAAGTGTTGGCAAGGATGTGGAGAAATTAGAACCCTAATATACTGCTGATAGAAATGTAAAATGGCCATAGGATAGGCCACAAAACAAGTCTCAGTAAATTTAAGAAAACCAAAATCATATCAAGCACTCTATCAGACGACATTAGAATAAAATTGGAAAGCAACTCCAAAAGGAACCCTCAAAACCATGCAAATACATGGAAATTAAATAATCTGCTCCTGAATGATGGTTGGATCAACAATGAAATCAAGATGGAAATTTAAAAATTCTTTGAACTGAATAATAGTGACAGAATCTATCAAAACCTTTGGGATACGGAAAAAGTGATGCTAAGAGGAAAGTTCATAGCATTAAATGCCTACATCAAAAAGTCTGAAAGAGCACAGACAATCTAAGGTCACACCTCACAGAACTGGAGAAACAAGAACAATCCAAGCCCAAACCCAGCAGAAGAGAAATAACGAAGATCAGAGCAGAACTAAATGAAACTGAAACACATACACACAAAACAATACAAAAGATAAATGAAACAGGCCAGGCACGGTGGCTCACGCCTGTAATCCCAGCACTTTGGGAGGCCAAGGTGGGTGGATCACTTGAGGTCAGGAGTTCGAGACCAGCCTGGGCAACATGGTGAAACCCCATCTCCACTGAAAAAAACAAAAATTAACAGGGTGTGGTGGCACGCACCTGTAATCCCAGCTACTCGGGAGGCTGAGGCAGGAGAATCTCTTGAACCCGGGAGGTGGAGGCTGCAGTGAGCTGAGATCACACCACTGTACACCAGCCTGGGCAACAGAGTGAGACTCCATCTCAAAAATGAATGAATGAATGAATGAATGAGTGAGTGAATGAAACCAAAAGCTGGTTCTTTCAAAAGATAAATAAAATTGATAGACCATTAGCAAGATTAACCAAGAAAAGAAGAGAGAAGATCCAAATAAGCTCAAATAGAAACGAAACGAGAGCTACTACTACTGATACCACAGAAATACAAAAGATTTAAAGTTACCATGAACACCTTTACATGCATAAACTAGAAAACCTAGAGGAAATGGATAAATTCCTGGAAATATACAATCCTCCTAGATTAAACCAGGAAGATACAGAATATCTGAATAGACCAATAACAAGCAGTGAGATTGAAATGGTAATAAAAAAAATTGCCAACAAAAAACAGTCCAGGACCAGATGGATTCACAGCTGAACTCCATCAGACATTCAAAGAAGAATTGGTACCAATCCTACTGACACTATTGCAAAAGATAGAAAAAGAGGGAATCCTGCGTAAATCATTCTACGAAGCCAGTATAACCCTAATACCAAAACCAGGGAAGGACATAACAAAACAAGAAAGCTACAGACCAATATCCCTGATGCACAAATCCTCAAAAAAATACTAGTGAACCAAATCCAACAGCATATCAAAAAGATAATCCACCATGATCAAGTGGGTTTCATACCAGGGACACAGGGATGGTTTAACATACGTAAGTCAATAAATGTGATATACCACATAAACAGAATTAAAAACAAAAATCACATGATCCAATAAATGCAGAAAAAGCATTAGACAAAATCCAGCATCGCTTTATGACTAAAACCCTCAGCAAAACTGGCATAGAAGGGACATACCTTAATGTAATAAAAGCCATCTATGACAAACCCAGAGCCAATATTATACTGAACAGGGAAAAGTTGAGAGCATTCCCCCTGAGAACTGGAACAAGACAAGGATGCTCACTTTCACCACTTCTATTCAACATAGTACTGGAAGTCCTAGCCAGAGCAATCAGACAAGAGAAAGAAAGAAAGGGCATCCAAATCGGTAAAGAGGAAGTCAAACTGTCACTGTTTGCTGATTATATGATTGTATACCTAGAAAATTCTAAAGACTCATCCAAAAAGCTCCTAGAACTGGTAAATGAATTCAGCAAAGTTTCAGGATACAAAATTATTGTACACAAATCAGTAGCTCTGCTATATATCAACAGCGACCAAGCTGAGAATCAAATCAAGAACTCAACCCCTTTCAGAATACCTGCAAAAAATAAAATAAAATAAAATAAAATACTTAGGAATATACCTAACTAAGGATATGAAAGACCTCTATAAGGAAAACTATAAAACACTGCTGAAAGAAATCATAGATGACATGAACAAATGGAAACACATCCCATGCTCATGGATGGGTAGAGTCAATATTGTGAAAATAATCATACTGCCAAAAGCAATCTACAAATTCAATGCAATTCCCATCAAAATACCACCATCATTCCTCACAGGACTAGAAAAAACAACCCTTAAATTCATATGGAACCAAAAAAGAGCCCACATAGCCACAGCAAGACTAAGCAAAAAGAATAAATCTGGAGGCATCACATTACTCAACTTCAAACTATGCTATAAGGCCTCAGTCATCAAAACAGCATGGTACTGGTATAAAAATAGGCACATACACCAATGGAACACAATAGGGAACCCAGAAATAAAGCCAAATACTTACACCCAACTGATCTTTGACAAAGCAAACAAAAACAAAAAATGGGGAAAGGACACCCTACTTAACAAATGATGCTGAGATAACTGGCAAGACACATAGAAGAATGAAACTGGATCCTCATCTCTCACCTTATACAAAAATCAACTCAGGTTGGATCAAAGACTTAAATCTAAGACCTGAAACCATAAAGATTCTAGAAGATAACATTGGAAAAACCCTTCTAGACATTGGCTTAGGCAAAGACTCCATGACCGAGAACCCAAAAGCAAATGCAACAAACAAAGATAAATAGATGGGACTTAATTAAACTAAATAGCTTCTGCACAGCAAAAGAAATAATCAGCAAAGTTAACAAACAACCCACAGAGTGGAAGAAAATCTTCACAAACTATACATCTGACACAGGACTAATATTCAGAATCTACAAAGAAAACAAATCAGCAAGAAAAAAATAATCCCATAAAAAAGTGGGCTAAGGACATGAATAGAAAATTCTCAAAAGATGGTATACAAATGGCCAACAAGTATATGGAAAAATGCTCAAATTACTAATTATCAGGGAAATGCAAATCAAAATTACAATGCAATACCACCTTACTCTTACAAGAATGGCAATAAAAAGCTCAAAAAATAATAGATGTCGGTGTGAATGCAGTGAAAAAGGAACACTTTTACACTGTTGGTGGGAATGTAAACTAGTACAACTACTATGAAAAACAGTGTGGTGATTCCTTAAAGAACTAAAAGTAGATCTACTGTTTGATCCAGCAATCCCATTACTAGGTATCTACCTACAGGGAAGTAAGTCATTATACAAAAAAGATACTTGCATACGCATGTTTATAGCAGCACAATTTGCAATTGCAAAAATATGGAACCAGCCCAAATGCCCATCAATCAATGAGTGGGTAAAACAAATGGGATAGATACACCATGGAATACTACTCAGCTATAAAAAAGAATGAAATAATGGCATTCACAGCCACCTGGATGGAATTGGAGACTATTTTTCTAAGTGAAGTAACTCAGGAATGGAAAACCAAACATTGTACATTCTCACTCATATGTGGGAGCTTAGCTATGAGGACACAAAGGCCTAAGAATGATATATTGGACTTTGGGGACTCGGGGAAAGGGTGGGGTGTGGAAAAGGATAAAAGACTACACATGGGGTACAGTGTACACTGCTTGGATGATGGGTACACCAAAATCTCAGAAATCACCACTAACAAACTTATTCATGTAATCAAATACTACCTGTTCCCCAAAAACCTATTGAAATAAAAAAATTAAAAAATTTAAAAGTTTATGTATCACATAATATGTATACATAAATATATAAATCACAGTATACATATTTGTAAATACATAAATACACATAAATATACCAATTACATAATATACATGTATATTTATGTACATAAATATATAAATCACAATATATACATAAATATAAATATAAATATATATTTATGTATATTTAAATATTTACATACATCTCTCTAACCACATCAGCATCAGTTTCTAGCAATAGCAAATATTCAAAATCTATGTGACAAAATCATGATTAAACAAATTAATACATGAATAAATCATTGCAACTGATTTGTAGGTATTTCTCATGTAATTGATAAAGGTACTTCCAGTGAGCAAGGAAGCTAGATAAAAATTTATGTTGTGAAGAAAGCACTAGAGATGGAATTTGCATTCTTATTTCAACATTTTCTTTGAGTAAATAAATTAATCCTACTGAATCTTAGTTTTCTCTTACATAATATGGAATATTATAAAAGGATTAATAGACAAGTTAAAAAATGTAGCCCAGAATTACATATAAGGAGCTGTAATTAAATATTCCCTCCCTCCCTCCTGAAGACTGGTGCTAGGACAATTCACAATTGCAAAAATATGGAACCAGCCCAAATGCCCATCAATCAACGAGTGGATAAAGAAAATGTGGTAAATGCATACCATGGAATACTATTCAGTCATAAAAAGGAACAAAACAATGGCATTCACAGCAACCTGGATGGAACTGGAGACCATTATTCTAAGTGAAGTGACTCAGGAATGGAAAACCAAACATCGTTGTTCTTATCCATAAGTGGGAGCTAAGCTATGAGAATGCAAAGGTGTAAGAATGATACACTGGTCTGCAATCCCAGCACTTTGGGAGGCCAAGATGGGCGGATCACTTGAGGACAGGAGTTCGAGACCAGCCTGGCCAACATGGTGAAACTCCATCTCTACTAAAAATACAAAAATTAGCCAGATGTGGTGGTTCATGTCTGTAATACCAGCTACTTGGGAGGCTGAGGCAGGAGAATCCCTTGAACCCAGGAGGCGGAGGGTGCAGTGAACTGAGATTGTGTCACTGCACTCCAGCCTAGGCAACAGAGCAAGACACTGTCTCAGGAGGAAAAAAAAAAAGAATGATACACTGGACTTTTGGGACTTGAGGGAAAGGGTGGGAGGGGGGTGAGGGATAAAAGACTACACATTGGGTACAGTGTACACTGCTTGGGTGACGGGGGCACCAAAACCTCAGAAATCACTAAAGAACTTATCCATGTAACCAAATCTGCCCCTCCCGCCATGTTCCCCCAAAACCTATTGAAATTAATAAAAGGAACTAAAAAAAAAAAAAAAAAAAAAAAGACTGGTGCTAGGGATAGCTCTTGTGACCATTCTGCAGTATCATTAATGTTCTTTTTTCCTAACATTAAAACCTCAGTCTGGGCACTGTTTTGTCTCCCCAGCTACTTTTCCTATTACCACCTTCCAATCCTTCACTGTCATGTATTTGCAGACTGTGATTCTAGGAAAATCTCAACAATTTCTGAATTGAATATAAGATAAAAGGGATAAATTTGTCCTGAGATTTTAGATAACTGAATTTCTTTAAGCCATCTACGGAATAAAGACCAAATACCACCCCCACACCCCCACCTCCCCCACCCAAAAAAAAGTAAAATAGTGCAGCTGCTTTGGACAGACTGGCAGCAATTCCATTCCTAGGTATATATCCATGAGACATGAAAACATGTCCACACAAAAATCTGAACCCAAATGTTCATAGCAGCGTTATTCGACATAGCCAAAAAGTAAAAACAATTCAAATGTCCATCAATTCAGGAGGCCAAGGGAGAAGAATTGCTTGAATCTGGGAGGCAGAGGCTGCAGTGAGCTGAGATAGCGCCACTGCACTCCAGCCTGGATGACAGAAAGAGACTCTGTCTCAAAAAAAAAAAAAAAAAAGAAAGAAAACAGTATGCTACGTGCAAGAAGCCAGTCACAGAAGCCAGTCACAGAAGACCACATATCGTATGATCCCATTTATATAAAATGTCCAGAATAGGCAAATCTCAGGGCACAGGAAGCAGGATAAGAATCTCTGAGGGCTGGTTTCGAGTTTGCCTGGAAATGCCTAGATTAAGTGACCAGTTCAGACAGCGTAGGAACTCAAGATGGAAATTAAATCCACTTAAAGAACAAAAATGGGCCGGGCCCGGTGGCTCATGCCTGTAATCCCAGCACTTTGGGAGGCCGAGGTAGGTGCATCACCTAAGGTGAGGAGTTTGAGACCAGCCTGGCCAACATGGCGAAACCCTGTCTCTACTAAACATACAAAAATTAGCTGGGCATGGTGGCGCATGCCTATAATCCCAGCTACTCAGAAGGCTGACGCAGGAGAATCGCTTGAACCCAGGAGGTGGAGCTTGCAGTGAGCCAAAATCCTGCCACTGCCCTCCAGCCTGGGTGACAGAGCAAGACTGTCTCAAAAAAAAAAAAAAAAAAAAAAAAGAATGACCTCTGAAATGCTAACACACTTCACTGTAAGACAGATGGCCCAGCCAGCATTAAACATATGGCGAGGACTCAGGAATCTCCCTCTGCATGATCTGGGCCAGGCACCATGGCCTGAGGACCGCACATCAGAGTCATAGGACCCAGGTGAACATCCAGGCTGCTTCATAACAGCATGACACTGAACCTTTGCAAATACTTTGATATTGAAATGATGATGGGGGATGAGACAAGAGGGGTAGGCAGGGTGGCCAGCCACATGTGTCTAAAGCTCTAGTATCTGGAAGTGAAACCTCCTGCCCACCATCAGCCTGGAAATAATCAGACCCTCTTCCTGGGATCATTACCTAGGGCATGCCTTCTGAGGAAGATAAAAACCAGATTCTAGAAGTTGTGTTTGTTCAGAGCAGTTGAAAGAGAAAAGCTACGACTCCTGGGCAGGTGTTATTTCTCCATGGGTCTTATGCCCCAGCCCTTGGCGTTAGGATCACACTGGATGAAAATGAAGCCAGGACAGAGCTGTCAGGGCCCTCCGTGAATTCTGGTTTGTGTAGGGTAATACCAGTTTGCAATCCTGGGTGGGTCAGAGGCACAAGTGATAGCTCACCAATATGCATGGGCTTTCGCCAGGCCTGAGGCTAAGGGTTCAGGAAGCCTGGAGACCGGAGCCGATCTTGGATGAGATATACATCACGCAAGGGATGTCAACCAACTCTGTTCCTTGGTGGTTTTGACAAAAAAGCAAAAGTGTGGGCCCATCCACACTTGACTCTGTTGATGGGACTCTGCTCTCTCTTGCCACTCCCTCTGCTGGGAGCACTACTCTCCCCCATGCTGTCTGATTGGCTCCTGCTGGTCCCCTGGGCATCAGTCTCACTACTATCTCCTCTAGGATGAGACAATGTCTTTCTGAGATACTCCCACGGAATCTTGTGTGTCTCCATCACAGCACTATCTCACTTCTTAAATTCCATCCTCTGAATCCCTGTGCTCAGCACAGGTAAATTCTTAATAAATACTTGTTAAATGACAATGAAGTGCATCACATTTTTGGCCCTTTTTCTTCTGTAATGAAAAGTGGAAAAGAGCAGGAAAAGTGCTGGAGCAGGTAGTAATCTCCAGGAAGTAATACATCTATCAGTCGTCAGTGAATCTTTTCTTTTTTGAGACGGAATCTCTCTGTCACCAGGCTGGAGTGCAGTGGCGCGATCTCGGCTCACTGCAACCTCTGCCTCCTGGGTTCAAATGATTCTCCTGCCTCAGCCTCCTGAGTAGCTGGGACTACAGGCGTGCACCACCATGCCCAGCTAATTTTTGTATTTTTAGTAGAGATGGGGTTTCACCATGTTGGCCAGGATAGTCTCAATCTCTTGGCCTCATGATCCACCTGCCTCGCTTGGCTTCCCAAAGTGCTGGGATTACAGGCGTGAGCCATCGCCCCTGACCTTTTTTTTTTTTTTAGACAGGATCTTGCTGTTTCCCAGGCTAGAGCACAGTGGTGTGATCTTGGCTCACTGCAACCTCCACCTCCTGGGTTCAAGTGATTCTCGTGCCTCAGCTTCCTGAGTAGCTGGGATTACAGACATGCACCACCACATCTGGCTAATTTTTGTATTTTTAGTAGAGATGGAGTTTTGCCATGTTGGCCAGGCTGGTCTTGAACTCCTGTTCTCATGTGATCTGCCCACCTCAGCCTCCCAAAGTGCTGTGATTACAGGAGTGCTGGGCCCAGCCAACCAGTGAATCTTTATGTGAGATACTTTAACTAGATAAGCAAATGTGGTCACCAGACCTCTGAGATGGCCCCAAGGGACCCTCCCCTGCATTCATATCCGGGTGGAGTCTCCTCCCCTTCAATGTGGGCTAGGCCTAGTGACTCGCTGCTAATGAATCAGACAAGTGGGATATCACTTGTCTGGGATAAAAACTGTATTTTTCAGATATAAAATTCTGTGACCTATGATCTTCGCTAAGTTAACCTCGTCTCAGACATGGCAAGAACCAACACTTTGCTTCAGTTCTGACCATTCTGTCAGTGAGGAATGCTCTTCTGGGGTCCCAGCAGCATCTCGGTCACGTCATGGCATATTCTGCTTCTAACTTTCCTTTCTCACAAGTGGAGTCCGTACCACAGCTGCTGGCCACGTAGGCCTTGTACAGATGATGCTGATGAGGAGGTGTAGGGAGCAGGATACTCTGTATAAGATGGAACTATCTCAGGAAAGAGTCTGAAATAAGGTCCTTCTAACTAAATAAGTACAAACTGGAGTGTGTGGCGCACATGCAGTCTGAGAAACCTTCTGTGCACAGCAACATTCCTGACATGCTGACAATCACCTCTGAATCTGGCTGGAGTTTGTTCCTTCTGTTTACTTGATAGGCACAGGCCAGACAGAACACACTAAAAATCAAGATGGAGCACCGCACTGTGCAAATGCACCTCGTCTCAAAAGCACAGATGGGCTTTATGTTCAGAGAGGCAGGCCCTTCTCCATGGAGACTGCTGAACACTCCGCTCAACGCGAACCAGTCTAGAATACGCGGCACAGTGGGAGACTTGGGGAGGGGGAGGCATCACAGTTGGCACCCTGAGATTACAGGAAACCTGAGAAACACCTAGAAATCTGCAAAGGTAGAGCAACTAGTCAGGTGGCTCCAAGGATGGGGATATGTTGTCCAATGATAGGCACAAAAGACTCTTGTGCCTCTGGGTTTCAGCTGCCAGGAGAGGGCAATTCGCCTGGAGAAGCAAGGGAAGCTCTGCAATGTGCTACTCAGTGTTTTAAGGTTTCCTGATATAAGGAGTGGAATCTTGTTGTAGTACAAGCTGTAACAAAGGCTTGAGTCCAGCACAGGCCAATCATGGGTCTAACCAATAACTAAACACAATAAATGCCCTGTGACTCAGGTTCTCTCAATACAGAGGTCCCTTGTATAACAGTTGGAAACAATTCTGTTGCAAATGTAGAGCCAGTGAAACATTACAATCTGATAAGCTCTCTAGACTGCTGGCTCTTCATTTTCAAATCAGCAAAGACCCTGAGAACCCGAGAAAGCTCTGCATCATGTTCCAAGAAAAGTGTTCAGAAATTACAAAATCAGAGGGTTCATGACCCCAGCAAACTAGCTTGTTTTAGTCCAACATTCATTTTTCATTTGAGGAGGCTGAGGTCAAGAGAGGTCACAAGGTCACACACAAAATCAGTAGACAGGCTAGGACTGGTCCCTGGGTCTGCTAATTGCCTCAAACTGCTGGCGGAAAACTAAGCATATTGGGATCACAGCACAATGTTTCTGAGACTAAAAGGAACATGGATCAGTCAAGACTTCTGATGACTGACACTAACCGTGATTTTCCAGGGGACAGTCAATTTCATTCCCAGTAAGGAAATGTGAGAAAGGAGAATACAGGGATTATGAAAATCTCTTATGTATAAAAACAATCTCTTGTTGGAGCCAAAACAGGTATAGAAAATGCCAGAGAAGGTGCCCTGAGGACACGGGGATCCTTCACCAGCTCTGCATCTGAGCACAGAGGCAGGGACGCACATGCTGTGGCAGAGAGAACTGGCCAGGAGACCAGCTGCACGGAGAGAAAGGCAGTGTCTTTAGTAGGAAAATGATACTGCACTGTTCTTGGCCATGCTTGGGTGGCCCCAGCATGATGCCTGGCACTTAGTAGGGGCTCCAAAAATAGGACTTCCCTTCTTTCTTTTTCCTCATGGAATAGGGAAGAATTTTTAATCCTCCTGGCACACATTATAGTCAGGTAAACAAGGCCAGAGAGACTTGTGGCAAAAGGCCTGACTTTAAGAGTTAATGCCCTCTGCAGAGCATTCATAACTGCATCCCCCTCCACACGCACACGCAACTACAACTTGGAGCTAAGCTGTTATCATGGTAACAGAATGGAAGACACTTTAGTCTCCATTTCTATCTCCCTGACTCATGGACACCTGCCAGGTAGCAGATGGCCTGTGTGGACAATTACCTTCATTTTGCTGCCGTGTATTTAAATTAAACAAAGTGGTCTCTTTGCTGCCGATTTTCAGAGGCCCTCTCAGAGAAACAAAAAACAATGATGGGAGAGAGTTGCTGCAAGTCTGAAATTTAGGCAACCGTGAATGTATAGAGAACTGGGATATGTAGAGAACAGCCTTTGTCCATTTTTCTCTTCAAGAAAAAGTTAAAAACCCCACATAACTATTTTGAGCTGGTGCTGGTGGTGACCATGCTAGGAAGATGCAGCTGTCTCATCAAAGTGGACGTGAAACGAGGGAGAGGTGATGGGGCTATCTGATGCTGCACTGTCTGTCCTGCTGTGAGAGTTGGAAATAACCGCCTCACACGACAAGAGTTAAGACTATTGGGAGTTAGGACTGGCAATGGAAGTGCTCAGAGAATGGAGAATGAGGGTGAAGGAGAGAGGCAACCCAATGGCCGTGAGCAAGGAAGCAGGCAATGAATGTGCCTGGACACCTTCCCTGCTTAGCAGAGGCGCCCACCTGCAAGCTTAAGTGCTGCGGAGTCTTTTATTTATTCTTATTTTCTATTTTTTTCAACACCCTTGGTCAGCATGAAAGTGGAGTCTTTTAAAGATGAACTTGGCTTCTAGACACTGGAGAGAGGGGCTAAAGAGTTTTATGAAGTCTCTCACCACCGCTAACACACATTTACCTATTATGTGTCTGTTGGAAGGATGAGGCCACCAGAAAGTCTGCCATGGGGTCTCTCTGCAGAGGGGTGACACCTGTTTGTTTCCATATCATGTCAGAAACCTCAGGGCTCATGCATAACCTGTCACTCACTGTGATGGCTGGTGAGGCAAGCTGCGGTAAGACAGGAAGCAGCTATTCTAGGACTGCTGGATGATTTGTGATCACGGTGTTGCCAATGGCAGAAAGTTAGGGTTCTCAATCTTCATGATTCTGTCCCTATTCAAGTTACACTAAATTATATAGAAGACAAAGCTTATGCTAAGAATTAAAGAGTGAGGGCAAGGTGTACAATTATCTTTCTTAGTAGAAGGAAGAAGGTGTATTAAATTTCTGGGACAAAGAACAACCTATTAAAACTCAAGATAAATCTGTAGATAAAAAGAAAATTGGAAAGTAAACTTTTAGATAGAGAAACTCATAAATTCCAAGACTAGAATTACCTCCTTTCTGTTTGTTTCTCCCAGTTTGCCTAGCCCTATTTGAAAATGGTATCCCAGTAGTCTTTTTTTTTGAGACAGAGTCTTGCTCTGTCACCCAGGCTGGAGCGCAGTGGCGCAATCTCGGCTCACTGCAACCTCCGCCTCCTGGGTTCAAGCGATTCTTGTGCCTCAGCCTCCAGAATAGCTGGGATTACGGGCGCCCGCCACCACACCCCGCTAATTTTTGTATTTTTAGTAGAGATGGGGTTCCGCCATGTTGGCCAGGGTGGTCTCGAACTCCTGACCTCAAGTGATCCACCTGCCTCGGCCTCCTAAAGTGCTGGGATTACAGGCATGAGCCACTGTGCCTGGCCCGTATCCCACTAGTCTTCACTGCAAGATTTCAAAGCCAGTTCTCTGCAAAATGATGAGAGACCTCACCAACCAAGAGAAAAATACCTATACAATGAATGCTGAACACTCAGATAGCATACTAGAAACAGAAACTAGGCTAGGTTCTCAGGAGGATGTGGTCCTTATTCAGACAGCTAAATCTATTAGCAGGAAGCCAGCTGGGACCTATCAGTGGGGTTTTAAAATTCTATGAGTCTAATTTAAATGTTACTTATGGGTAAGCCAAATTTGTGTGGTGAGGTATGGCACCCTTATTCAACAATGACACTCTGCACTTTGTTAAGTCCCTGTTATATGTAACATAGTGGTTAGAGTCCAGGCTTTGCAGTTGGATAAACCTAGTTTGTTTGTTTGTTTTTTGAGATAGGGTCTTGCTATGTTGCCAGGGTTGGTCTTAAACTCCTGGCCTCAAGCAATCCTCCCACATCAGCCTCCCTTGTAGCTGGGAGTACAGGCGTGTGCCACTGTGCCCAGCCTAGAGGAACCTAGTTTGGATTCCAGCTGCCATTTACTAGCTGTGTGATCTTGGGCAACTTACCTAACCTCTCTGCACCTAAGGTTCTTCATATGTACAGTGGGGATAACAATATCTACCTCACAGGTTGGTGAGGATGATCATGAAACACCCCCCACACTTGGCTCCATAGAGTGACACCTGTTGTTCTTCTACTTTGAAAGGTGTTAGGGGTAGGGGGCTATGCAGCTGAGGCAATATCTCCACTCTCAGCAGGCCTATCCCGAGGGAGTCAGGTACGTATGCAACCAGCACACCAAACGGGATGTAACAGGTGCCACAGCAGAGAAACAGAGGAAAAGCAGCCTGGCCTGACGTTATGGAACAGGGTTAAGTTTGGTAGAAGAGGTGGCAGCTGAGAGTATCTCGACGGGTACAACTGCAATGGGCAGAAGAGGCTTGGGAAGGGCAAACCAGGCGGGGGAAAGTGCATGACTGAGGCACTGGGCTGGAGAGGAGGCTGTACTGGGGGTGAGACGGGGCGGTGAAGCTGGAGTGTGGGGAGCAGGGAAGACCTGTAGCAGGAAAGGAGAAGTGTCGGCGGTGAGCAGCCAGAGATGTAAATGAGCAGCTGCAGAGTTTATTTAATAGGCCACAGATAAGGGCTGGGCACGGTGGGTCACACCTGTAATCCTAACACTTTGGGAGGCTGAGGTGGGTGGATCACCTGCAGTCAGGAGTTCAAGACCAGCCTGGCCAACATGGTGAAACCCCATCTCTACTAAAAATACAAAAATTAGCCAGGCGTGGTGGCACGCGACTGTAATCCCAGCTACTCGGGAGGCTGAGGCAGGAGAATCGCTTGAACCTGGGAGACAGAGGTTGCAGTGAGCCGAGATCGTGCCATTGCACTCCAGCCTGGGTGACAAGAGTGAAACTCTGTCTCAAAAACTAAAAAATAATAGGCCACAGATAGGAAAACTACACAACCCGTGGAAAATCCAACTCGCCACCATTATTATTTTTTTTGTTTCTTATTTTTTGAGACAAGAGTTTTGCTCTGTCTGGAGTGCACTCAGGCTGGAGTGCAGTGGCAAGATCATGGCTCACCACAGCCTTGACCTCCTGGGCTCAAGTAATCCTCCCACCTCAGCCTCCTGGGTAGCTGACACCATGCCTGGCTAATTACTGTATTTTTTGTAGAGATGAAATTTTGCCATGTTGCCCAGGCTGATTTCAAATGCCTGGGCTCAAGTGATCCATCTGCCTCGGCTTCTCAAAGTGCTGGGATTATAGGCGTGAGCTACCATGCCTGGCCCGACTAACCACCATTAAAAATAAAATGTTCTGGCGGGGTGTGGTGGCTCACGCCTGTAATTCTGGCACTTTGGGAGGCTGAGGCGGGCAGATCACTTGAGGTCAGGAGTTCAAGACCAGCCTGACCAACATGGTGAAACCCCGTCTCTACTAAAAATACAAAAATTAGCTGGTTGTGGCTGCGGGCACCTGTAATCCCAGCTACTCGGGGGGCTGAGGCAGGAGAATCACTTGAACTGGGAAACGGAGGTTGTAGAGAGCCAAGATTGTGCCACTGCACTCCACCCTGGGTGACAGAACAAGACTCCATCTCTAAATAAATAAATAAATAAAATGTTCTATTTTTTTTCCACCACCAGTTTTGCTTTTTGTTTTGTTGTTGTTTTTTTTTTCAACAGACCATGAGCCAAGAATGATTTTTACATTTTTTAATGGTTACATTTTAAATGGTTATATAGTACCTACATAATATCTGGTTTGGCCTGGAAAGCCTGAAATATTTACTGTCTAATCTTTTAAGAAAATGCCTGCTGACTCCTGCTACAGGCAAAGGCAAGAGGAGCCGGTGAAGGTTTCTAAGGAGGGGAGGGATGTGGCCAGTCTGGTCTGTGCTCAGGAATCAAGCTCTGGGCAATGGCACAGAGGGACTGAGAAACGAGAGACAGGAGACAGGGGTTCTATCAATAAAGTGGCTTTTCCAAAACCCGGTGACAGATAATGGAGGCTGGAATGGGGTATAGGAATAGAAAGAGGGAGAGCAACTTTTGGGAGAAAAAATGGACTTGAAGTTGGCAACTGAGAGGGAAGAGCAGGAGGCTGGCGATGGCTGGCAGGGATATGGTGGGTGCTGATAACGGCATCAGCAGAAGCAGGAAATACGTGCAGAGGAGGGATCTGTGGGGCCCACCCTTCCGATAGCCAAACCTCAGAATAAGGGGTTCTGAGAATGCCGTGGAGGCGCATATTTGTATCACAGGGAAAGGTTCTCTGGACTCAGAGCAGGGCTTCCAATTAACAAGGGGGCAATTTTACCTGCTAGGGCCCTGAGAGTAGAGGCTACTACTGGTGCTTAGTGGGTAAAGTTAAGGATGCTGCTAAACATCCTTAACAGCCTGACCAACATGGAGAAACCCTGTCTCTACTAAAAATACAAAAAAAATTAGCCAGGTGTGGTGGTGCATGCCTGTAATTCCAGCTGCTTGGGAGGCTGAGGCAGGAGAATCGCTTGAACCTGGGAGGCGGAGGTTGCGGTGAGCCGAGATCGTGCCATTGCACTCCAGCCTGGGAAACAAGAGTGAAACTCCGTCTCAAAAAAAAAAAAAAAAATTCGAGACCAGCTTGGCCAACATTGGCCAACATAGTGAAATCCCATCTCTACCAAAAAAACACATATGTTTTTCTATAACACATACAACAACTACTTGCAAAAAGAGAGTTAACTGGCCCCGAATGTCACTAATGCTGAGAATGAGAAGGATGGCTGAGGGTGACTTAGTCATGAGGTCCTACAGAGGATGGTCTGCCCAGGGCTATTTTCCTGGGTGGTGAGCTGCTGTGGAAAGAAGGGTAGGCAGCCAGCATCCTCAGGTTAGTTAGACCTTCAAAGGGCCCAAGAATAGACTGCCGTATCTTCTGCACACTTGGGATGTCCTGGGGTGGCTACAGATCTGAGAGTCTCCTAGAATCTCTCTTGATTTTCTGAGGTCTGAGCAGGTTAAAAATTGGAGTTGAAATTTCCAATGTGAAAGCAATTAACAGAAAATTATATATACATTTAAATTAATAATACATAATAATAAAAGTACTGAAGGGTTTATGGTTAGCCATCTGTGCAGAGCTGGTGAGCTGGCATGGATCCTTATTATAATAAAAGTGCCACTTTAGCAAATGACATGACATTTCTCAAAAGAAGATATACAAATGGCCAACAAACATATGAAAAAATGCTCAACATCACTAACCATCAGGGAAATGCAAATCAAAACCACAATGAGATACCACCTTACCCCTGCAAGAATCGTCATTATTGAAATATCCAAAAACAATATACTTTGGCATGGATGTGGTGAAAAGGGAATGCTTATACACTGCTGGTGGGAAAGTAAATTAGTACAACCACTATGGAAAATAGGATGGAGATTCTTTGAAGAACCAAAAGTAGACCTACCATTTGATCCAGCAATCCCACTACCGGGTATCTACCCAAAGGAAAAGAAGTCATTATATGAAAAAGACACACGCACACATATGTTTACTGCAGCCCAGTTCACAACTGCAAAGATACAGAACCAACCTAAGTGCCCATCAACCAATGAGTGAATAAAGAAAACGTGGTAGTATATATACACCATGGAATACTACTCAGCTATAAAAAGGAATGGAATATCTTTTGCAGCAACCTGAATGGACCTGGAGGCTACTTTTCTAAGTGGGGTAGCTCAAGAATAGAAAACCAAATGCTGTGTGTTCTCACTTATAAGTGGGAGCTAAGCTATGAGTATGTAAAAACACACAGAGTGATATAATGGACTATGGAGCCTCAGAAGGGAGAGGTTGGGAGGGGCGTGAAGGATAAAAAACTACATATTGGGTGCAATGTACACTAGTTGGGTGACGGGTGCACCAAAATGTCAGAATTCACCACTAAATCACTCATCCATGTAACCAAAAACCACTTGTACCCCAAAAGCTGTTGTAATAAAAAAAATATTTAACAAAGTACCACTTGACTGGGCACGGTAGCAACACTTTGGGAGGCTGAGGCAGGCTGATCACTTGAAGTCAAGAGTTTGAGACTGGGCAGGTGCTGTGGCTCATACCTGTAATCCCAGCACTTTGGGAGGCTGAGGTGGGTGGATCACCTGAGGTCAGGAGTTCGAGACTAGCCTGACCAACGTAGAGAAACCCCGTCTCTACTGAAAATACAAAAAAAATTAGCCGGGTGTAGTGGTGCATGCCTGTAATTCCAGTTACTTGGGAGGCTGAGGCAGGAGAATTACTTGAACCTGGGAGGTGGAGGCTGCGGTGAGCCGAGATCGTGCCATTGCACTCCAGCCTGGGCAACAAGAGCGAGACTCTGTCTCCAAAAAAAAAAAGAGTTCGAGACCAGCTTGGCCAACATAATGAAATCCCATCTCTACCTCCCCCAAAAAACCAACAAAAATTAGTTGGGTGTGGTGACGTGCACCTGTAGTCCCAGCTACTCAGGAGGCTGAGGCAGGAGAATCGCTGGAACCCAGGAGGTGGAGGTTGCAGTGAGCCAAGATCACACCACTGCACTCCAGCCTGGACACCAGAGTGAGACTCCATCTCAAAAAAAAAAAAAAAAAAAAAAAAAGCACCACTTTAGCTGCAGTTAACTTCATTGCCTATAATTTTATAAAATAGCCTTCTACTTTTCTTTTTTTAAACATCAGGGCATCTATATTGCAGCTCCAAATGCATACTGCCAAAGTATGATTAGGAGTAAATGGAGAAGAGTGTAAGAGTCTATGGAACTTGTTATAACATGCATCTTTTAGCTGAAACTAAGCAGATGTTCTTTTCCATGAAGGACGCTCCAAACCTTAGCACTATCGTTACTATGGAACATCAGAACCAACCTGAGGGTCAGCTATAAAACCTGTTACCCTAGAGACTGGTACAGCTTCATGATTTGACGAAATGCCTCCAGATGCTCTCAGAGTGAAGTTATGGAAACAATCCCATGCTGAAAGAAGATGCTGAGGTGAGGCACAACAGAGAGGAAGAATGCCAGGGAAACCTGTCCTGCTGGAGACATGGCCAAGAATCACGCAGGTGAGCCACAGGAGAAGGGCATCAGGGATGCAGCTGATGTTTTCTTAGGATATTTTCTTCTGTCTGGAAAAGTGGCAGGTGGGAGGCTGGCATGAATAAACCCTGGGGAAGAAGTTATTGAAAGAAAACCCAGACAATGAAGTAAGGGCCACAGGATTTCAAAGTCAGGAAAGGAGAAATCAGTGAAATAAACCCAACTGGATTTCATTCATTCATTCATTCATTCATTCACTCATTCATTCCTCTATAGGCCAGGACCCAAATAGATCTCTATAGACCCTTCTAGGTTTATAGCCTTTCTCCAGAGTACCAACTGGTACAATGATGAAAGGATCCAAAAACTGTGGAGCTGGAAGTTTACTGATGAGGAAAATGAGGTTTGTAAAGGTTACGTGCTTGTTTAGATGAAAAAGAAATGGGATTTAGCTGGCAAGACTCGATTAGTGAGAAGGGCAGTCCATTCATGTGTAATTCACAGATTTAAGATTTACATCTTTGTTCAGTGGAGTGACATTATTTGACAGGAGGTGGTGCTGAGGAGGTTGGACAGGACAAAGCCCACTTTTCAGAGTTGGGTACACTTTACTACTCTATTGAACATTTTCTTTCCTAAGTTGCTGATAACTTCCTTATTGTCAAATTCATGGGCTTCCTTGTCTTATTGTCTCACTAACTTCCTCCTTCTTGCAACTATCTGGGCTTCCAAGAGAACCGACGGTCCTTCTCCTGCCTCCTTTTTCTTCTTTTTGTCTACTGTGGGTTTTCCCTAAGGCTCACGTTTATGGTTTCAATCCTCATTTTGTGTTGAAGGGTTCCAAGTCTACATTGCTAGCCCTGTTTTCCCATTGAAATTTCAGTTGCGCATGTCCAAATACCTAGCAGGTCTTTTTGCTTGACTGCCTGGCTATGGGACATAATAGCATGTCCAAAATCAGATCAAAGTCCCCTCCTAACCCAGATCATGTCTCTATTTTCACTTGTTCAGTAAATGACACCCATCATTTCCCTAGATTCTTAGGCTCCAAGCCTACAAATCATTTTTTCTTCATCCTTTTCTGTTAATGCTTTGCTGAGATTCAGTCTGTAGTATTCTGGGGGAGGCAGTGTGTCCTAGGAATTCAATATTCTTCCAGTGGAAGAATTTCTCCAGTTGGCTGAGGAGATAATGTTTTTGGAGGCCCTGAAGGATGGTTTTCATATGCTGTGTGCATTCTGGTCAGGAGAGGAAAAGACAGAAATATAGTACAGGAGGGAAATTTAGGAAGTAGGTAAGGAAATCTCTCAGCCTGACATTGATGAGTGATGAAAAATATTGGGGGGTGTGGCACACACCCCAAAGCTACTTTTCTCTTGTATCCTCGGACTCTTGTTAGGTGCTCAGGGAGTTTTGGGGGAGTGAAATACAAACACCCATCCCCCATCCCCACCACGCAAGACAGGACCATCTGGAAATGAACCTTCTGGGTATGCAAGAGTAAGTTCCTGAACATAAAAGAAACCAAAACCATTTTTGTTCATCTATGATGCTTTCCCAGAAGGATCTTGATGAAAAGAGGGGAAATGAGAACAAAAATAACTCGGGGAAGTCTGAATTATATGAGGTATTCAAACTTTATCAGGTCCCCAGAGACACAGGTATGGGGCTTCAGTCACGCCACCCTGCCATGACGAGGCGGGGGGGCAATGGTTTAAAGGCATTTTGTTACTGACTAGCTGCTTCACTCATTAGCTTCATGTTCCTGGAATGTGCGATAAAAAGAACAATGTATAGATAATCAATAGCTTATGTTATTATTTTTTTAAAACGTATCTGGCCTGTGACACAACCCTCAGGAGATCCTGAGAACACATGCCCTGCTTATGTTACTTTAATGTAAGTTCTTGGTAAACAACTTAGGAACTGCCTTTTCTTTTTTTTTTTTTTTTTTAAACCCACTGTAACTGCTGCTAATCAGAATGTATATTCAGGGCAATTTGAATCTTTGCTCCTGGGGGGCCATCCTCAAGCTTTGGGCTCAAATAGACTTATACTTAACCATAAAGAAAAACCATAGCTGGGCGCGGTGGCTCATGGCTGTAACCCCAGCACTTTGGGAGGTCGAGGCAGGCAGATCACCTGAGGTCAGGAGTTTGAGACCAGCCTGGCCAACATGGCAAAACCCCATCTCTACTAAAAATACAAAGATTAGCTGGGCGTGGTGGCGTGCGCCTGTAATCCCAGCTACTTGGTAGGCTGAGGCAGGAGAGTCACTTGAACCCGGGATGCAGAGGTTGCAGTGAGCTGAGATCATGCCATTGTACTCCAGACTAGGCAAGAAGAGTGAAACTCCGTTTCAAAAAAAAAAAAGAAAAGAAAAACCAAACCTATTTTTAGTATTATAGTGATATTTCCTCTTTTTGGAAAAAAAATAACAACAAACTGCCAGGTCCCTACGGTGAGTACAGGTGCCAAGACCGATGAATACACCCTGCCAACTCTTGCAAGGCCATGTGTGGGAGGGAGCCAGCAGTAGCAGACAGTCTATGCACATATCCTGGGACTGCGACCCAGGATAAAGGTTTGTGGGAGAGTCCTACGTATAGCACAGCGATCCTCATTTACCAACAGACATCTGTACCATTTGCCAACTTAGGAGGGCCGCAGTGGTGCCTGAGGCCCGGGATACCACTGGCCCGGCTTGTGTTTCTGCATTTAGGGTATCATGTCAACCATGAAATAACTTTCAGACTATTTGATGGTGGTATTTGTGTACGATTTCTCTTTTTATCCTCCAAAAGGCCAGGCTCACTGTCTTGAACATATATAGTAAAACACCGCTAAATAAATAAATGAATGGCAATCCTTTGCCTTTTGGGAAGTAGACTCAGGCTTCTATTTCGGAAGATTAAGAGCCACGGAGCCCAGAAGATTGCAGAAGCATGTGAATCTGAATCGCTTCCCAGTGAGACTGTATCCAAAGGCTAAGAAGGGAACGTGACCCATGAGGCATGCTAACATCAAGGGGTTCACCAACAATCTCTTTAATGGCCAAAGAGGAGGTTTCTTTTTCTTGTTGCATAGGTTTGTTTTTCTGAAAGTACTTTCTCTTAAACTTACAAAGTTAGTATTCATGAGGTTTATGTGAGCCCTTGTGGGTCGACCATTGCTAACTAAACATTAAGTGCCCTTCCTTTGAGGTATATTTGGTAGAGCTGTGATCAGAAAGGGGGGCTTCCTGGAGCCAGGCCAAACCATGCTCTCTTTGGTATAGCTGTAGGTGGGTATTTGTCTGGGTCTTGGAAATCAGATAGGGCATGATGGCAAGATCCCACGTGATAGCCAAACTCACTGAAGTAAAAGGAAAGGTCCCAAGTGTGGCAAAGTTCTCTTGGCCAATTCCCCAAGATTCCACTAATCACATTATTTTCAGAGTGCCAGGTATATTATCCTTTGGCCCACTGCCCCACTACCTAAGCTGGGCCAAGGCCACCCTGAAGGAGCTTCCTATCCTTACATAACTTTTACTGTCTAAAGTTACAGTCTTTAAGCCTGATGATCATTATATAAAATGTTCTATTAAACATATATAAAGTCTTTTTAAGTCTTTAAGCCAGATGATCATTATTAGATAATTAACTTCTAATAGGAGAGATCAGATAAATGTTGGAGGAAACAAATCCTTCATGAATAAACAGAACCCCTTTCCTTGGATAGCTCAGTGAATGTGGTATTAGAGATCCAGCAGTGAAATTTTATGGTGCACTGAGTCACTGGGAAAAATGGAACCCTAAAATGTTCCTAGATGAACTTGTACATCTGAACTGTTTCCAGACTAGGATTGGGATATTGTTTGATTGAGGCCAGAGAGGCCCATAGCTCAAATGCACCAATGGTCATAAACACCATTGCCAGTAGGGACTTCATCAGTCTCTGGTGACCCTAGTGTCCCTCTGTAACATGCTGATGAATCCTACAACCGTATTTCTGACTGTAAGCACTGGGCTTTTACTGAGCAATATTTAAAATATTTTCAAACGATGCAAATAACTATAGATATCCTGCATTTTATAGATTATTATCTTTAAAAGACAAGGTGATTTTTATGCCATGTATCAGTATATTTTCTTTAGCTAGAAATAACAACATTAATAATTAATAATAATACTAATCAGCTTGGTGTTTGTATTTTTTTGGTAACAAATTTTTTTCAGATTCCTTTTTAAAAAAATTATTTTCATTATTTGCTTTCTTGGGAAATCAGACACCTTTTTTTTTTAATACTTTAAGTTCTAGGGTACATGTGCACAACGTGCAGGTTTGTTACATATGTATACATCTGCCATGTTGGTGTGCTGCACCCACTAACTCGTCATTTACATTAGGTGTATCTCCTAATGCTATCCCTCCCCCCTCCCCCCACCCCACGACAGGCCCCGGTGTGTGATGTTCCCCTTCCTGTGTCCAAGTGTTCTCACTGTTCAATTCCCACCTATGAGTGAGAACATGCGGTGTTTGGTTTTTTGTTCTTGCGATAGTTTGCTGAGAATGACGGTTTCCAGCTTCATCCATGTCCCTACAAAGGACACAAACCCATCCTTTTTTATGGCTGCATAGTATTCCATCGTGTATATGTGCCACATTTTCTTAATCCAGTCTATCATTGTTGGTTCCAAGTCTTTGGACATTTGGGTTGGTTCCAAGTCTTTGCTATTGTGAATATTGCCACAACACACATACGTGTGCATGTGTCTTTATAGCAGCATGATTTATAATCCTTTGGGTATATACCCAGTAATGGGATGGCTGGGTCAAATGGTATTTCTAGTTATAGATCCTTGAGGAATTGCCACACCGTCTTCCACAATGGTTGAACTAGTTTACAGTCCCACCAACAGTGTAAAAGTGTTCCTATTTCTCCACATCCTCTCCAGCACCTGTTGTTTCCTGACTTTTTAATGATCGCCATTCTAACTGGTGTGAGATGGTATCTCATTGTGGTTTTGATTTGCATTTCTCTGATGGCCAGTGATGACGAGCATTTTTTCATGTATCTGTTGGCTGCATAAATGTCTTCTTTAGAGAAGTGTCTGTTCAGATCCTTTGCCCACTTTTTGATGGGGTTATTTTTTTTCCTGTAAATTTGTTTGAGTTCTTTGTAGATTCTGGATATTAGCCCTTTGTCAGATGAGTAGATTGCAAAAATTTTCTCCCATTCTGTAGGTTGCCTGTTCACTCTGATGGTAGTTTTTTTTTGTTTGTTTGTTTTTGGAGACAGAGTCTCGCTCTGTCGGCTGAAGTGCGGAGTGCAGTGGTGCGATCTCGGCTCACTGTGAGCTCCGCCTCCTGGGTTCACGCCATTCTCCTGCCTCAGCCTCCTGAGTAGCTGGGACTACAGGTGCACAACCACGCCCGGCTAATTTTTTGTATTTTTAGTAGAGACAGGGTTTCACCGTGTTAGCCAGGATGGTCTCGATCTCCTGACCTCGTGATTCACCTGCCTTGGCCTCCCAAAGTGCTGGGATTACAGGCATGAGCCACCATGCCTGGCCCAGATTCTTTTTGATAAAGGATATTTCTGAGTGGATCTCCTGAATGGATCTATCTGGGAGTGCCTTGAGCAAAATCACTGCTATAGGTACGTCAACTAGTTATGTCCCTTATAATTAATACAATTATTAATTCATACAGAGTATAAGTCAAAATCTTATAAAATTGGTTAATATTGGTTATCATTCAGCAAATATTTATTGAGTATCTACTGTATGGCAGGCTGGGCTACAGGCGGGGGATGTAATAGTGAAAAAGGCAGAAATGGTCCTTTAATTGCCGTCTGATGATGATTATAGGCCTAAGTGACCCGCGCTCAACTGATGCGACCTAATTCCTGAGCCTGTTAAACTGCAGGGTAAATCATGGGCTGAACAGTCACTCAGTGAAGTCTTATCTGAAATAGCCAGGCAGTTTGCCCCTCCATTATAACCCTTAGATCTGAGAAAAACAGAAGGGAAAGAGGGGGGAAGAGAGAGAGGAAAGACAGAAGAATCAGTGGAGGTACTGATGCCACGCAAAGCACCACAAAAGTGGCTGAGGCTGAAGGCAGAATCACAGCACCCAAGCTTTTAAAGTAACAGTTATTGCCCATTTCTCTCAAGTTTCCCAAATGCCAAAGTAACCCTGTGATACTATGATATAACCAATATATATTTGGTCTCCATTCCAGGTTCCTGGCATAAGAGCTTCTTTTTTTTTTTTTTTTTTTTGAGACAGAGTCTCGCTCCGTTGCTCAGGCTGGAGTGCAGTGGCGTGATCTTGGCTCACTGCAACATCCACCTCCCAGGTTCAAGCGATTCTCCTGCCTCAGCCTCCCGAGTAGCTGGGACTACGGGTGCATGCTACCATGCCTGGCTAATTTTTGTATTTTTAATAGAGATGGGGTTTCACTATGTTGGCCAGGCTGGACCAGAGTTTCTAAAACCCGTGGAATCTCCAGAGTGATATGCGTGTCTTTTGCATGCTAATGAGATGACCGGGCTTCGGGAATCTTGGATAGCTTCAGGATGGGGACTGGTTGCCAGAAAGACCACGGCATTATTAGAGGGTTGAAAGTTTCAGCCCCTTCCACCAGGCCTTGGGGAGGGGAGAGGGGCTAAAGATTGAGTTAATCACCAATGGCCAATGAATGAATCAATCATGCATACATAATGGAACCCCCATAAAGACCCTAACTGAGGGGTTCAGAGAGCTTCCGGTTGGTGAGCATGTCTATATGCCAGGAGGTGGTATATACCCCAACTCCATGGGGACTGAAGCTCCTGGACCCTTCTGGAACTTGCCCTATGTACATCGTCACCTTGGATGGTCACCTGTGCCCTTATAATAACCTTTAAAATCACTAGTAATAGTGAGTAAAGTGCTTCTCAGAGTTTCATGAACCATTACAGCAAATTATTGAGCCTGAGGAAGGGGTTGTGGGAGCCCTGATTTGTAGCCAAGTTGGACAGAAGTGTGGGTAATCTGAAGAACCACTACTTGTGATTGGTGTCTGAAGTGTGAGGCACTCCTGTGGGACAGAGCCCTTAACCTGTGGGCTCTGCCCTAACTCCAGGTAGTGTCAGAATTGAATTAAATCGTAGGACACCCAGCTGGTGTCTGCAGAGAACTGAATTTTTTGGTGTAAGAAACCTACACATTTGGTGTCAGAGTGTTATCTGGGTAGAAAGAGATCCTGGTAGTAGTAAGCAGTAAATCCCTAAGGGGAATGAAGCAAGAAGGTGGACACTATCAAAAGTTCTCTATAATGGATTTACAGAGCCAGTTTTGGGAAGCACATCTAATAAACTCTTCATTTTAAAAGTGTTTTACAATTCTTTTCTTTTTAAAATTTTGGCCGGGCGTGATGGCTCACGCCTGTAATCCCAACACTTTGGGAGGCCAATGCGGGCGGATCAACTGAGGTCAGGAGTCCGAGACCAGTGTGGACAACATGGCAAAACCCCATCTCTACTAAAAATACAAAAATTAGCCCAGTGTGGGCGCCTGTAATACTAGCTACTCGGGAGGCTAAGGCAAGAGAATCACCTGAACCCAGGAGGCGGAGGTTGCAGTGAGCCAAGGTCGCACCACTGTACTCCAGCCTGGGTGACAGAGCAAGACTCTGTCTCAGAAAAAAGAAAAAAATTTTCCCTACCTGCAAGCTAACAAGTTATACAATTATTTTCTTACCCATTTAGGGTAAGACATTTTGATAGGAAAGAAATTAAACTACACCAGCCAGAACCTGGAAGGAAGGAAGGAAGGAACGAAGGAAGGAAGGAAGGAAGGAAGGAAGGAAGGAAGGAAGGAAGGGTGGTTGGGTTAGGGTTATATCATAGTTCTGTGTTAAATACGCCTATGTTTTGGCCTGTCACTCAATAATGGTGGGGATTAAACAGAAGCTAGTTCTAAAGCTTTATAGTCTCTTCAGTTGTACATCTGAAAAACATTGAATTACGTAAAGTCATTCAGTCCAAATTTGAGCCTCAGAGCTGAACTTACATGGGTCCAGTTTAAACCTGTGAAGTGGACAGAAGGATATTTCTATCTAAGTCAACAGAGCAGCACTTCTTACCTCATACCATGGTGGGGAAAGCTGAGGAAAAAACAAATTGTACCAATTCACGCTATGGACAGTCCTATAAGACTGTAAGGACTTGGACATGAGCTCAGGTCCCTGGCCATGGAGAACTCCCAAGATATACCTACAGTGGCTCATTAGAGGCAGGCTTCAGCAGTCTAGGTTCTCATTTTGCCAACTTCAAGGGGATGGTGATCTCACACAGAATGAAAGGTCACTGAAATGGACACGTTATTTAATCCCCTGTCTGCTCAAGGCTAGCTTTAAATTGACCTGAGAACTAATATCACAGCAGTGGCAATTCCTGTTTCTTGGATTACATGGTAATCCATAAAAATTTTAAAAATTAAATGTCTACTGGAAGCTCTACTGCTACGACTAAGACCAATATCCACAATGCCTGCCCTCTTCTGAAAGAGTTTTCAGGTGAGGTGTCGGGTGTTTCCAGTCTGTGCTCACTTGGAGCTGGCACACGCAGAGAGAGATCAGAAGATGCTGTTAGTCTGGGCAGACTGTTGGAAGTAGGTTTGCAGCAAGTAGCTGCAGCTGCAAAGTGCATCTCTGGGGTATGGAGGGCTGAAGAGAAGGAGGGGATGCTAGTGGTCAGCAACAACAGGTGAAGTGACACCCTGGATCATCAGGAAGGGAATACTTCATAACAAGGGGATGAGACCATCAGGAGCTGGAAGGATAAGTAGTCTCCTTCCTCTCCCTCCAACAGTCTCACTCATTTGTCTACTTGGGGGAGGTATTTCCAACATCTGCTTCTCTGGGACTTCTAGATAAACTGGAGGATTAGACTTCCCAGCCCCCTTGAGGTGAAGTGTGGTCATGTGATTTGCTCTGGCCAATGAAATGGAGAGGAAGTGATGCGTGTCACTTCCTGGAAGAAGCATGTAATGGCTGGGCTTGATTTGCATCCTGTTCAGCTTTGCCCATGTAAGTGTACCTACTGATGCAGAAACGCCAGAGATGGAAGCAATAAACTCTGTGTGAATAAAGAAAAAAGCAAAACCAAACCTAGGAAAAACCAAAACAAGTGCACTTTGGTTCCACGAAAGCCATCAGATTTCTGGGTTGTCGGCCACTCTTGATGCCATGTGCCATCTTCTTTCCCCCTGACAGTCTGTCTCCTCCGTACCCTCTTCTCACCTCCTCCCCTCACTACTGATCTCTTCTTTCCTTTCCTCTCGCCTTTACTCTATGGTCCCATTGCTCTCCTAGCTAGAAATTATAAGTATAATGTTTTATATTCCTAACCTAAAACATGTATACATTTGTGTTTTTTAAAAAAATGGGTAGGCTGGGCGTGGTGGCTCACGCCTGTAATCCCAGCACTTTGGGAGGCTGAGGCAGGCGGATCATGAGGTCAGGAGTTCGAGACCAGCCTGGCCAATATGGTGAAACCCTGTCTCTACTAAAAATACAAAAATTAGCTGGGTGTGGTGGTGCGTGACTGTAGTCCCAGCTACTCAGGAGGCTGAGGCAGGAGAATTACTTGAACTTGGGAGGCGGAGGTTGCAGTGAGCCGAGATCATGCCACTGTACTCTGGCCTGGGAGACAGAGCGAGACACCGTCTCAAAAAAAAAAAAAAGGCAAATTTTAAAAATTAAACGTTTTGTATTTATCTCCCAAAGGATAAAAAAGCTCCAAGGTAAACGAAAACTCAGCTTCAGCTTAAAAAATGTATGCTTTGAAATCTTACTATGTTATATAAACATATGGTGCTAATATTGTAGATAAGCCTGCAATTGACTTTCTTGTGTGGGTCAGTGGCTATCAGGATAAACAGAAACAAACATAAACCTCCCCCAAACACCATGCAATAGCCACACAGCTCAGAAAAACCCGAGCTCCGTCTGGAGTAGGTTCTGAACAGGAAATCATTGCAAGTGGAGTCAGTGTCTCAGTCGTCGTCAGTAATTTTGTTAAGGAGGCTGGCACAGCCCCAGCATCCAGAAGCCTAGTCGAGACTGCAGGACATCTATAGTTAGCAAAAGAAGTCCTCATTTTCATGCACATTCATTCATGACATGAGGTCACCCCAGCACCCTGAAAGTTGTTTCAAGCAATTAAAATCACTCCAGACACACAACAACAGAGAATGAAAGAGCAGGAAAATGCAATGGTAGCCTGGCTAATCATGCACACTTCAATGCGCACAACAGATGGGTACTTACAAGCTCTGGTTTTAAGTAAGAACATGCTCTACTGGGTAAACATGCCTTGAACTTTTAGGCCATTTTACAACACCATGGGGAGAACCGCTGGGGGTTTTACACATAAAACCCTCTTCAGAGATGATGTGCGGGGAGAAGAGGAGAAACATTTATATGAGGAAAGGAAGAACGTGCAAAGGAGCGAGAGTCCGGCGGGAAATTCCGAAGTTCACTTACTGCCTGCTTTTGCTCTTCCTCCTGGAGTGTTGAAGATGAAAAAAAAAGGCAGAGGAAAAAAGGAGAGAAATTAATGCCCATTAATGCCCATCACCACAAACATTGGTCAGAAATGATAGAAAAATCAGGCAAACCAGGCCAGGCCCACAGGTGCTGAGATCAAAGGCCCCATCCCCCACAGGAGCATCAGAGGACGAAGCAAGCAGCAGGCCTCGGCCCGGTGAGTGATTCAATGCTAACTCCTAGAGCTAGAAGGAAAGAACCTTAGAAACCACCTCGCCAACATTCTTACTATAGATCAAACAGGCCTAGAGGGCCTGACCTGCCTAAGGTTCACATAGCTATTTAGGGGAATCTGAAAGAGGAAGTGCAACCATGACTTGAAATTGTAATAATAATTCTATATTCATCATTCACGATATTCACATGTGTTTAGGTACATTTATCGAGGCAAGTGGTTTTTGATGCATGGAACACAGACCAGCAGCATCGGCATCACCTGGGAACTTGTCAGAGATGTAAACTTTGTGCCTCACCCTATCCCCACCAAACCGAAGCTCTAGGGGTGGGCCACAGCAATGCGTTCAATCTTGTCTCTGATTCTGGTGCATACAAGTCTGAGACCCACTGCCCTCATCACTTCCCAACTAGCAATTCTGCCCACTACAGGTTCTTTTCTTATTTGGTCCCCTCTCCACACTAAACATGTTGGAACTGTATCCCCGTCTACTTGCTTTCAGGCACAGTCTTTTTTTTTTTTTTTTTTTTTTTTTTCAGTGAGTCCCATACATACACAACTTCCCCCAGTAAACTGGAAACTGTTTGGAGACCCTGAAAGGTCATTCAAAAAAGAATTCTTGACCTCAGTTTTTCATTAATTCAATACAGGTTTATTTAGTCCTCTTATGCAGAAAGCACTGGAAACAAAGAAATGGTCTCTGTCATCTAAATCAATCTATCTATCTATCTATCTATCTATCTATCTATCTATCTATCTATCTATCTATCTGTCTGTCTATCGACAGAGTTTCGCTCTTGTTGCCCAGGATGGAGTGCAATGGTGCGATATGGGCTCACTGCAACCTCCACCTCTGGAGTAGCTGGGATTACAGGCATGTGTCACCATGCCCGGCTAATTTTGTATTTTTAGTAGAGATGGGGTTTCACCATGTTGGTCAGGCTGGTCTCTAACTCCTGACCTCAGGTGATCCGCCTACCTTGGCCTCCCAAAGTGTTGGGATTACAGGTGTGAGCCACTGCACCTGGCCGGTCTCTGTCTTTTAGAACCTTATGGTGATGGAACACAGAGCAGGCACTTGCTGGCTATTAGCTGACTGCCCAAATGAATGCACTATCAGACACTGCAGGAAAAAGGATAAAGAGAACACTTTCAAGTTTCTCTTTCTTCAGTTCTTTGCTACTCATCTACTCTGTCTTTTAATGGGCCTCTTCCACTTCCTCCTTCTGTGCCTCACCATGGGTCACTGTGGTCAGGGAGACTCAGCTCTTTGGCCTAGTATGTAAATCTAAAAGCTGTGCAATGGTTCTATTTAAATTGGAACAATTCATGCAGCCAGTCTTTACTGAACATGTACGTGCCTAGGAAGTCTCAGGAATGGGTAAGTGCTCCTGCTCCCACACAGTCTACAGACCTGGGTGCAATGGTGAGAAAGACCTCAGTAAAGCAAAGGAATTACGAAAGGGAGAGGGTGAGTAAACACTTGGAGAACATAATTTTTATTACTGCAAGGGACAGACAGGGACTAGAAATAAATGGGCACCGAGAAATCTCTTAAGGAGACTCCCAACTCAGCATGGGAAGGTGCTCTTCACAATCAAAGCCAGATGCTGGATGCCTGACCAAAGCCAAACTCACAGGAGCCTAGGCACAGAGCGCTGAACACTGGCTCTGGCAGCGGGAAGGAATTAGAGCGCTTCTGCTTTTGCACCTGCTTTGCAGTTAGGAAGCAAGCTCTCTTCCTTGCCAGACTTCCCTTTGGGGCAGGACACTTTTCTTATATTCTTGAGGCAAGGCAAACAGTCATAGGACAGTTATTAAACAATTATAAAATGTGTTTTCATTGCTGGCACTGTGTTGAAGTGGAAAGTGCGATGGTTGGGGAGGGATGGGGCAATCCTAACAGGCTGAAATTGTATCCGAGGTCAAAAGACCAGTATGTAATTTCTTAGAACTGTTTCTAAGACATCTCCCTACTTCCACAGTTTTCTCCAGGTTTGGTATTAAAGAGAACACTGCTGTGGCTCAACAGAATAGGGAAATTCAGAAAGCAATGTTTCATACTTGGACATCTGGTGATTGCAATTTAAGTTTGTCAGAAGAGAAACCGTAATTTGCAGTAGATATATCAGGTTAGGCTGGGGACAGTGGGCAGGGCAGCGCTTCCAGGACTTACAGGCCTTCCATGTGGCCTGGTACTGGGGAGAGAATGGACTTTGGCAAAGTGTTATTTAGGATAGTGTTGTATAATTTAAACTCACAAAACTTATTCAGATAAAGCCCTTAAGGCTCTGTCAACACAGTAAACAGGTCAGATCCCAGGTCTGAGAACCTCTGTGTTATCAACTAGTCAGGTGGGGTCACTAAATATTGACTGATGACAAGGGATAGAGCCAACGTGATTTAAAAGGGGGTAATACCTTAATTATAAAGTGTAAACTTAGAACTGCTTATGTCACCTAAAAACATGTGAGTCTCTTCCACATGAATGAGGTCTGGCAAGGTGGCCAAAGCAATGACATAGCCACTGTAGTCATTTACATAAAAATTTACACTCAAACTAGATAAGCATTTGCAAATGAGGTTGAAATTCAAAACTGCAGAATTCATCTGGTAAATGTAAATGAGTTTCCTTTTCTCTTCTTTTTTTTTTTTTTTTTTTTTTTTTTTTGAGATGGAGTCTCACTGTGTCGCCCAGGCTGGAGTGCAATGGCGCGATCTCGGCTCAGTGTGACCTCCGCCTCCTGGGTTCAAGTGATTCCCCTGCCTCAGCCTCCTGAGTACCTGGGATTATAGGCATGCACCACCACATCTGGCTAATTTTTGTATTTTTAGTAGAGGTGGGATTTCACCATATTGGCCAGGCTGGTCTTGACCTCAGGTGATCCACCTGCCTCGGCCTCCCAAAGTGTTGGGATTATAGGCATGAGCCACCACGCCTGGCCTGGTAAAATGAGTTTCAAAAGCAATATCAGACAAATGGAAAATGAAGTAGAACATGGATTAGAAACACCAACACATAAACACTTCTAGATTAAATAGGAAGTTTTTTTGAGGTCAGTAATTAATTAATACTCATTAATCAGGTAAAAAGTATAAGGGAAAGATATGTAGAGAAACATGAATGCCTGAGTGTCAGTCTACATTATGTCATTAAAAAGAATAAAGGGTGGCTCACGCCTGTAATCCCAGCACTTTGGGAGACCAAGGTGGGTGGATCACCTGAGCTCAGGAGTTCGAGACCAGCCTGGCCAACATGGTGAAACCCGTCTACTAAAAATACAAAAATCAGCTGGTTGTGGTGGCGGGTGCCTGTAATCCCAACTACTCAGGAGACTGAGGCAGGAGGCAGGAGACTCACTTGAATCCGGGAGGCAGAGGTTGCAGGGAGCCAAGATTGTGCCACTGCACCCCAGCCTGGGCAACAGAGTGAGACTCCATCTCAGACAAAAAAACAAAAAAACAAAGAAGGAGGGTCCTTGATACTCCTTGATTGATCAGGGATTGAGTCTAGTCACCATGATATGCCAAATAACTAATGTGACACTTAGGAACTCAATAGATTTTTGTTAAAGAAACAAAAAAATTAATTTTAACCCTGCTTTATTCCAAAAAAGGATTAAGATTTTTGTTGAATGAATTAACAGTGATGTCACTTCTTATGTATGCTTCTTTAAATTATCATTTCAGATAGAAGATAAAGTACATAATAGTTTCCTGAAGCAGCAGAATGAAAGAACTCTCTGTGGCATGAAAATTTACTGTGAGATGTATTTTAATTTATGAGTATCTCAGACCATGTGGCTTGATTGTCCATCTGACTAACTGCTTCCGACTATTTTATGAGAGAATTAAATGCTAGCATACTGAACATCAATAAAAGCAGACAACCCCTTTTAAATTAAAATTAGGATTTTCTTTTCTTTTTTTTTTTTCTTGCTCTGTTGCCCAGGCTGGGGTGCAGTGGTGTGATCTCGGCTCACTGCAACCTCCACCTCCTGGGTTCAAGCGATTCTCCTGTCTCAGCCTCCCAAGTAGCTGGGATTACAGGCGCGCACCACCACGCTCAGGTAACTTTTGTATTTTTGGTAGAGATGGGGCTTCACCACTTTGGCCAGGCTGGTCTCAAACTCCTGACCTCAGGTGATCCACCCACCTTGGCCTTCCAAAGTGCTGGGATTGCAGGTGTGAGTCACTGTACCTGGCCTAAAATTAGGATTCTAAAGGGTACTTTTATGGGTTGATGAATATATATTTCTAATAGTAGGAAAACACTGAAATTTTAACAGAAGTCAGTAATTCCTGTGTATGACCTTTCAGGTATGCATATAATACAAAAATTAAGATTACGTGGTAATTCTTTTAGGAAGCTGGACACTAAAGGCATGAGATTTTCGACTGTGAATTCTAGCCAATGGATAGAAAGGCAACATTCCTAGATTTGTGTTTGCAAATTCTTCCTCCCAGTCTGAACAGCCTTAGCCTGTCAGACGGGTAAATGATATTTAAGAACCTGGCAGGGGATCCTACAGGGGCAGCAGTGTCCTGCTTATTTTTCTGAAATTACTGCTGCAAATATAAAGAAACTCAGGGTTTGGGATCAGAGTTGCGGGCATTAGCTCGTTCTGCTTAGCCCTTGAATACAAGCATCAGCGGTACACTAGAAGGCCACAGTGGCATGCATGGGGCTTGGGGTCAGTAGTTCTGGGGATCACTAAGACAATCCAACTGAAAGGCAATGGTACAAGGTTACTTAGGGGAGATACACTCTGGCTTCCCTGCAGTTTACATAAACCTTTTGCCTTTTACAAAAATCACACTGGGGCACTGGGACTTTCCCATCTATGCTTGGGTAATATTTGAGAACATCTTTCTGAAAAGGGAGATGTGACACAGGGAAGAGGTGAGTGGATCCCCTATTTTTTTTTTTTTTGAGACTGAGTCTTACTCTCTGACCCTGGCTGGAGTGCAGTGGTGTAATCTCTGCTCACTGCAGCCTCCACCTCCTGGGCTTAAGCGATCCTCCCACCTCAGCCTCCTGAGTAGCTGGGATTATAGGCACGTGCCACCGTGCCCGGCTAATTTTTGTGTTTTTAGTAGAGATGGGGTTTTGCCATGTCAGCCAGGCTGAACTCCTGGCCTCAAGTGATCCACCCATCTTGGCCTCCCAAAGTGCTGGTATTACAGGTGTTAGCCACTGCGCCCGACTGGATACCCTATTATCTCCCATCCCACAGGTGTACTAACTCCATGGCAGCAGGGCTTTTAAAGCCCCACGAGGCTGCAGATGTTACACAGGCCATGTATGTTTAAGTACATCCCTGCTGTTTAGATGAGGGGCTAGGTTGCTTAGCTGGGTATCTGACAACTATTAAGAGGGATTTAGGCCACATTTTTACATAAGATTTTCTTTAAATAAGACCCATTTAGACATAAAATATTTCTGAGGAAAAATCCTGCTAACAGGGTTAATGTAGAAACATATCTATGCAAAACAACCCAAATACTCAGGGCCAAAGCTAGGGGGAAAAAACAACAACCACCACCACCACCAACACCACCAACAACTCAGCTCATAACAAAACAGTAATTGTCTTGAGCAAGTCAAAATTCAGTTTAAAACACAAATGCTACATTTATCCAAGTTGCTAATGCCCACTAGCTTCATTACTAAGAGACTGACTTAGAATGCAGAAGTTGGAGAAAGTCTCTAAACTGATATTCTCCTGGGCTACCACTCCTGGGGTTAAGATCCTTGTCACTTCGGGCCTGGAGGATGAAATTAGTCTCCTATTATCCTTTAGTTTCTTCCCACTCTAACTTGCCCTGCGCATTTTCCTAAACTGTTATTTTTAAAACCTCCAATGACTCCACTTTATCACAAGATTAAATTCACTCCTGTCATCTGGCTTTGGGGGCACTCCACACTTTGTGATTTTCTCTGGCTGTTAACTCGATATCATACTACAAAATGCAGGGAGTTCTCAGCATCGCTGGGCAGGACCTGAGAAAGTAATAGCAGGAGCAAGTATCCTGGTATTGCTGCTATGTAACCAGGTAGATATTTCTGTTCGATGCCAATAAAATTGTCCAGGGGGAGGGCATTCAAATGCCAACCATGCCTTTCTTTGCTCAGGGGTACAGGGGTTGTAATATAACTTTCAACAACAATAGATAGACTTCATATGCCTGTAGTCCTAGCCACTCAGGAGGCTGAGGAAGGAGGATCCCTTGGACCCAGCTCAAGCAAGGTTACAGTGAGCTATGATCACGCCACAAGATAGACCTGACTTATTATGCATGTATTTAGTTCCCCAGTATCCCAAACCTACAGCTAATATGCTATCTTACTCTTAATATAGTGAAGTTACTGATTAGAATGGTTTAATTAGGTTGGTTTGTGTGATGGTTATTTTTATGTGTCAACTTTACCAGATTAAAGGATAGTCAGATAGCTGGTAAAACATAATTTCTGGGTGTGTCTGTGAGGGTGTTTCCAAAAGAGATTGGCATTTGAATCATTAGACTGAAAAAAGATCTGCCTTCACCAACATGAGCAGCATCATCCAATCCACTGAGGACTTGGATAGAAGAAATCGCTTGGGTGTAGCTCTAGTTTGTACAATTTAATTATTATACAATTTCATGGTATAAATAGGCTATAACTTCATAATCCATTCTACTGCTGATGATCATTTGGATTAGTTCCAATGTTTGACTGTTGTGAATAGTCAATGCCCTCAGACATGTGAGCTCCCCAGGTTCTTGGGCCTTTGGACTCTGGGACTTAAACCAGCAACCCAACACCACCCATCTCCCAACCCACCTCCCAGATTCGGAATCACACCGTCAGTTCTCCTGGTTCTCAACCCTTCAGAGACAGACTGAATTACACCACCAGCTTTCTTGGTTCTCCAGGATGCAGATGGCATTAACATGAGACTCCTTTACCTCCATGACTGTGTGAGACAATTTCCATAATAAATCCCCTCTTAGATATCTTTATATACATTCTACTGGTCCAATTTTTCTGCAGAACCCTAATACAGTTGTCTCTGTACTACTTATTGAAATAGGACACTTAATATTTGTTAAGTATTTAAGTGGAATATTTGAAAACTTGTCTTAACAGAAACTTTAAGGCCAGGAGCAATGGCTCATGCCTGTAATCCCAGCAATTTGGGAGGCTGAAGTGGGTGGATCACCTGAGGTCAGGAGTTTGAGACCAGCCTGGCCAACATGGCAAAACCCCATCTCTACCAAAAATACAAAAAAATTAGCTGGGCGTGGTGGTGGGCGCCTGTAATCCCAGCTACTCGGGAGGCTGAGGCAGGAGAATCACTTGAACCTGGGAGGCGGAGGTTCCAGTGAGCCAACATTGTGCCACTGCACTCCAGCCTGGGTGACACAGCGAGACTCCATCTCAAAACACACACACACACACACACACACACACACACACACACACACACTACTTTAAGTAGTTGAGAAATATTATTCATTTTTACATAGCTAATATCCTATTTATAAACATTCTTATTTATTCATAAAAGCAACTGCTCGAGACATTATCCTATTTCCAGTTACTAATTTTTTAATAATCTGGCTTTGCACTAATTTAGATGACTTTTATACCCAATTAGGCTAAATTTATCTGAAAACTGATTCTAGGCTAAAGTCAAGCCTTTGGCCTCATCCTATTCTGACATCACAGGGAGGCAGCAGCTGAGGCTGTGGTGGGAGAAGAATGACAAGAACTGAGCGTGGGCCACGGGCTCTTACCTTCAGCAACTTCATCAGCTCTTCCAGCTGGACCATCAGCTCCCGCCTGCTCTCCTGCAGGGCCGACATCCTCTGCTCCAGTTCATCCTTCCTTTGCCTATCCAAGACGAGAAGCCTATCAGATAAAGAGACCCTCAAAGATGGATCTAAGGCCAGGTGAAATGGATTTCAGACCTGATCCTGCTACTTACCAGTTATGAGACGCTGAGCAAGTCATTTAGCATCCAATACCTCATAAAATGGTGATAATGTCTGTTTTGCCTACTTCCTGGACTGTTCTGAGAATAATAGGTAAAAGTGCTTTGGAAAGTTTAGATGACTATATAAAGGTATTACTTATATTACCAGAGTGAATTAATGATTAAAAAACTCTTTAGAAAATCAATGCCTTTTGAAAAATATATAAAATTAGCCCAAATTTAGATTAATAGTAAAGAAACCATATTAAACTGCTCAGAGAAAACAGGGTCCAGTAGTAAGTACTTTCAGCACTAGACAGATTCAAGAAGGATGACAGATCAGGACGGCTCCCTGTGTTCAAGAACAGTCACTTTTCCTTGAGGATAGATTTTATGCCATCTACTCCAGCTCAATATGTCCAAAACCAGACTTAAGACTTTATTCCCTAAATGGTTTTCTTGTCTCTGTCTCTTTTTTTTTCCTTGTCTCTGTCTCTTTTCCCTGTCTCTGCTATTTTTCCTTCCAGGTGTCATGGTTGAAAAACTCAGTCCTCTTTGTTACTTTCTTCTTTATATCCTGTATTCAATCAATAACTCAATTCAGATCATTCTTTCTTGGAAAATGTATGTGCCTATCTTTCTATTCCCATTTCTCTCACTTTATCTAAGCACTCCTTACCTCAAGCATGAAACAGTCTCCTTATGTGATTAATCCTGCTTTCTTTTTTTTTTTTTTTGTGACGGAGTCTCACTCTGTCGCCCAGGCTGGAGTGCAGTGGTGCCATCTTGTCTCAACTGCAACCTCCGCTTCCCCAGTTCAAGTGATTCTCCTGCCTCAGCCTCCTAAATAGCTGGGATTACAGGCATCGCCACCATGCCCAGTTAATTTTTGTATTTTTAGTAGAGATGGAGTTTCACCATGTTGGCCAGGCTGGTCTCGAACTCCTGACCTCAAGTGATCCACCTGCCTCAGCCTCCCAAAGTGCTGGGATTACAGTCGTGAGCCACCGCACCTGGCTCTTTCATCTTTTATGGTGAGGAAAAAGCAGTGAAATAGAAGTCAATGGCCTCAAAGTTGAGTATCAGCACCAGTATTTACCAAATATGCAACCTTAGACAAGTCACTTAGCCTCAGTTTTCTCTCTTCTAAAAGGGGACTAGTAACAGCAACAATATTCTGAGGATCATATAAGGTAATAAATATGAGAGTGTTCTACGAACTTTAAACTGCCGCTCAAAACAAAGCTATGTTCATTTCATCATCCCATAATGATCTCAACAGACTTTCTAGCATCACTGACCCTTGCCTGTGCAATCGAGACCTACGCTGTCTATCACAGCAGCCGCTAGCCACGCGTGACTACCGAGCCCCTGAAACAGGGCTAGGCTGAACTGAGATGCACGGCAATTGTAACATACACACTGGAATTCAAAGACTTAGTGCAGGAAACAGCAAAGTATCTGGATCATGTTTTAATACTGATTACATGTTGAAAGGACAATATTTTGAAAATATCAGGTTAAGTAAGATATACTATTAAAATTAATGACGCCTATTACTTTTTGGTTTTTCAATGAGGCTGTTAGAAATGTTTTGATTATGTGCGTGGCCTGCATTTCTATCGGCGAGTGCGGCTCTAGATCCCATCTACATTCCTGTCCTTAGTACCACACCTCCTATCTTATGCCCTTTGTGTCTGGACCTCCAGCTTACGGTTCATTTTTCCTAAGTGGGCTCCATCATTTTATAACTCACCTCTCTTCCAAATCTTATTCATTCCGTAATGTCTGACCCAACATCACTGTCGGGAAGCTGCTCCTGATCACTTCAGCAGGGACTGCTTGATTAAGCACTACAGTAATTAGTGCTCCTCAGTGGTACTTAATTTACTTTACTGCTGCCATTCCTACCATGATGCAAAATCCTTGAGGTCAGGGGATGGGCCTTACTCATCCTTGCATGTATTGAAGGATTAAGAAAATATCATGCATCCAGTATCACCTAATTAACATCTACTGAACTTACCAAAATCATGATTTGAAACTCTCCAAGGGTTTCCAATGACCTAACAATTAAGACTTTCTAGAATCTGATCTCAATTGCCTGGCTAATTATATCTCCTATCACTGGCACTCTGAAGATTGATGTAATGAATGATTGAAAAGAAATTCTTAGTTCCAAGACTCTTTCCCTTTTCTGAAATGTGCCATAATTATTTGGGGGGAATCATGCTGAACCCCAAGTGCACTTCCAATCTGAAATGTTTTGTCCTACACTCCATCCAAATCATTATCTACTTTTCATGGTCTAGCTCAACTTCTACCACCTCCATGGTTCCAAATGCTTCCAGAGGAAAATTAGACACACAAAGGTGGTAGGGAATAAATATAGATATAATACCTATATTATATAGGTATTATATATGTAAAATCTTGTGTGTATACATACATTATATTATATATATTTCCCTACACAGATTTCTTATCCATACTGTTTATTGACATTGCACAATATTTTTTAACTATCAAATTATTTTATGTTTTGTTCCAAAACCAGATTATAAGTTTTTAGGAAGGACTCATTGTCTTCTAGTCTTCATACTCTCTACATTTCCAGTGCAGTAGACCCTCGATAAGAAGGATCTACTCATTCAATGTTCTAGGAAGACTTCTTCCTCTGAACTCCTGAGCCTGGGTGTGATATTCTTTATCTGTACTGTGTGTGACCAAACAATTACGGTATAAGCTGAACATGAATGAGCTACAGCTACATCCAACCACAGAGAACGATCCTAAAGGCTAATATGGTGGGGGTAGGGGGTGGAGAGGGAAGTCCTCTGGGACTATCCCCACCATATTAGTATAATATTTCTATTAAGCTTAGAAAACAAAAAGCAAAACTAAACAGCTTATTACATAGGATAGTGATAATGCGACAATATTGTTTTAAACACAAGGTAATGATAAACCAAATTCTGGATAGGCGTTCACCCAGTGGGGAAGGTGGAGGCAAGGAAATGGGGTAAGGGAGAGGTACTTCTATGGATGGCATTGTTTTAGTCATATTATGAGTTCTCAAATAGGATGTGGGTTTATAAGTATTCATTTGACTATTACGCTTCATATACGTTTGTCGCACACACATTCGTCATACATTTTATTGTAAGCAACGTACCATTAAAAATAATAATAAAGGAAGAAAAGGCATCCCTGGTGGTCAAGGCTCATAGCCACTCACCCTATGGGTGAAGTTGTCTACCTTGTTTTATTATACTAGCTGGGTGCTGGCAGTCCCTGGCCTCATATATACTGATCAAAACCAGACAGATGTCAGATACCTACAAGTGAATCCAGCCCTTTATGTGTCTTTTGATAAGCAAAAGTTCTTAATATTAATATAAATGGATTTACCAACTTCTTCTTTCATGGTAATTCTGAGATACTACTTTCTATTCCAAAATCCTGAGGACATTCTCCTACTTTCTTCTAGAATTTTTTTTTTTTTGAGATGGAGTTTTGCTCTTGTTGCCCAGGCTGGAGTGCAATGGCATGATCTTGGCTCACCGCAACCTCCGCCTCCCAGGTTCAAGCAATTCTCCTGCCTCAGCCTCCCGAGTCTTCTAGAAGTTTTAAAGTTCTGTATTCATGTTGAATCCATCTGGTGTCGGTTTTTGTAATTAGTGTGAAGTAGAAGACCAGTATGTTTTGTACATAGGCATAGAAAACTGTCCCAGCACACTTTAAAATAGTCCCTCCTTTCTTCAGTGATATAGGAACTGCTTTTGAGGTTAAATACTTTCTGATTACTCCAACTTCAGACCCTCATTGGTCTCAGATTTACATTTCTGCTTCTTGCTATCCTATGTGACATTCCTGGACTCAGCCCTGCTACTACATCTAAGATATTTTTCAGATCCTTCCGGCTTAACTGAGCACTTTCAGCAATCCAGTTTCAGCAACAGTTAGACTCAGGATGACAGGCCTTTTTGCTTTTCTAGATATAAAACCAGGCACTAGACAACAGGTGCATCTTACGCCAACAGCCTAGACTTACACTCTGCCCAAGTCAGCAGCATTTGTGTTCCCATCCTCCCTAGTACGACACCAGCTGTACTAACACCACAGACTTGCAGCAGTAAACCACAGAGCCACCCAAATCTCAGCCTAACTACATTGAGAAACTAAAATAAGTTTTTAAGAGAACGAAAATCTCTATACATCTAATGATTTTTTTTCACCTGCACAGTTTAAATTCTTTATGACTCTACTATGACAACTTTTATTGATGATATAAATCTAAACAGTAGAACATCTACAGAAAACAATAATCTCCATTCTCTGGGAAAAGAAACAAGAGGCTACACAGAATCCTAGATGATAGCAAATTAAAAATCAACCTAAACAGAAAGAATCCACTATTTGAAAATCTAGAAATCTGGTGAGAAGTCACTAAATGTAGTTTCCATAATGTCTTAACTTACAGAAGAGTGCGTACACACACACACACACACACACACACACACACACACACCCCTTTCTAAGGCTCATAGGCAATAAGACCCTAACAATGGATCAGATCACTTCTGTGAAGACTTCCCCATTCCCTCCAAAACACCATCAAACATGGTGGTGACGCTGCTCTCTATTCCCATTCTCATCCTATGTCCTTAGTTTCCTGATTCTTGAGACACTTTGTTTAGAAGCCATGGTGCAAGGGTTTCATGTCTCAGAGATGCGCACAGGAAGCATCCTTCTCCTTCGGCAGAGCCCTGCATTGACTGTAAAGTGCCAGGAGAATATACTCACAGCAAAGGCAAAGCATTCTTCCCGCCAAGTGTCTCTAAAGTCAGACAAATTAGCAAGTTAAGAGACAGACTGCAGCACAGTGGTCTTCTTAAAGCAATCACAGAAGTATAAACAGTGCCCTGCTGGTCCTGGAGCTGGGAGACTGGTATTTACCAAGTTCTGTGATAATGGCTGACATTCTTAGAGTGATCTCTAATGGAACCCAGACATCTGAAGCAGCAACAGAATGGGTGAACTCTTCAGTGGTCTGCGCTCACAGGATTGTTTATACTGAACAACAGATTCTACCCCACTCCTTTGGTTTCCTCAGATAAGTTCCATCCATAGTAGATTACATGTGGCAAGTGGTAGAGTGTCCCTACTCACCTCAGCAGCCGCAGCTCTGCCAGCAGCGTGGGGTTCTGCTGTGCCTTCTCAGGGGTGGGCTGGGAGGCCTGCTCGTGTTCCAGGCGGAGACGCTGAATCTCCTGCAGGATCTCTCTAGAGAGGATGGGTGAACGGAAAGGGGCTGCACAGTGCTTCTCACTCACGCTCCCTCTTTCCCTATTACAACTTTTCAACTCTAGCAGTGCCTCCTCTACCAATCTTGTTTTGATTGCTTCCAAATGGCCAAGAGGTGAAATGGACACCTTCTCAATACTGCTTCACCTGACATTTCCTCAACAAAGCAATCCTTTGTGGTGGAAAAAGTCATAAAAATACTCTTCTCAAGGACCTGAAAAATCTCCAAGAAAGGAAAATTACAGCCAGAATACTTTATTTACTCCGTTCCACTCAGGCAGGAGGAAAAGGGAACTCCTTGCAACCTCCTAATGCAGGTCCTGTGCTGACTTCCCTTAATCCTTCCCTGCCCCTTCCTTCCCTCTGTCCCCGATGCCCCAGTAGACAGCTATGTTGCTTCTATCTATGCCTGTTACCTTAGGTCGGGTCTCCACATCCTGGCTTCTACCTTTCAGTACATAATGGTGTGCTGTCTGCTCTCTGTGCCGTTAAATGGCATTAATTTTTTTTTTTTTTTAAGGAGAGACCAGACAGTCCTACATAGCATAATGGGTCAGGACAAGATGACTAGATACAGCAAAATGTTGCTGGGAAGCAGAGTGGAAAACGCAATTGTGAGAGGGGGTCACACGGATGGGTGGGAGGAGGCCCTGCTAAAAGGAATCCCCCGAGGGCAGGTGAGCAGAGCTGTGGACTACCAGAATCAACAGCATGCAGACAGACACAAATCAGCGTCCAGGGCATTCCCTGGACTTGGGCTAGCCTAGGTTCACTGAGGCAAGGTCTTCCTTGGCGGTCAAAAGCCACCTAGTATCCAAGGAAAATGAGAATCAGATACGCACGTGATAATCCTGGACTCTGGAAGTGGGCTCAGCCTCTGCGTTCTTACCTGTTTTTGTTTTCCAGTTCTGCAATAAGCTGTCTTTGTTGTTTGTTGGCATCAAAGTTAAAGCTCAAGTCAGTGGGAGGACGAGTCTAAAGTGGGGAAGTCGGGAGAAAGTTTTTTTTTTTCTGATCCAAATATACCCAGAGTTCTAGATTGACTGATTTTTAAAAAAGATTTTTGACATATAATTTACATATCATAAATCCACCCGTTTTAAGTATACAATTCAATGAGTCTTAGTAAATTTAAACAGTTGTGCAACCAATCACCACAGTCCAGTTTTAGAACATTTTCCATCACCGCAAAAAATTCCCTCATGCCAGTTTGTCACCAGTCGCCACTCCCACCCCCAACCTCAGGCAGCCATGCGTCTGCTTTCTGTCTATAGTTCTGCCTTTTCTAGAAACTTCATATAAACACATAGTCTTTGGTTTCTGGCTTCCACTTGGCATAATGTTTTTGGGGTTAATTCATGTTTTTCCATGAACTAGTCTTTTTTTTTTTTTTTTTTTTTTGAGATAAGGTCTTGCTCTATCACACAGGCTGGTATGCAGGATGCAGTGGCATGATCACAGCTCACTGCACTCTTGAACTCCTGGGCTCTCACCTTGGCCTCTGAGTAGATGGGACTAAAGGCACATGCCACCGTGCCTGGCCTAGTAGTCCCTTCTTTTTTATTGCTGTATAGTATTCTATTGTTTCCAGCTTTTGGTTATTATCTATTGTTTCCAGCTTTTGGTTATTACAAATGAAGATGCTATGAACTTTCATTCACAAGTATTTGTCTATGTATGTTTTCATTTCTCTTGGGTAGACACCTAGGAGTAAAATTGCTGAATTATATGATAACTATAATTAACATCTGAGGAACTCCCAAACTGCTTTCTAAAGTGGCTGTACCATTTTACAATTGCATTAATAATAAATGAGATTTCCAATTTCTCTACATCTTCACCAACACCTGTTGTTTTATTTACTTTTTATTTTTTATTTACTTACTACTTTTTTCTTTTAACCATCCTAGTAGGTATCAAGTTCTCAATAGTAAATTTTTTAAAAATTAAGATATAATTTTCCTACCATAAAATCCACTTTTAAAAAGCATATAATTCAGTAATTTTTTTTCCTTTTTGAGACAGAGTCTCACTCTGTCACCAGGCTGGACTGCAACGGCATGATCTTAGTTCACTGCAACCTCTGCCTCCCGAGTTCAAGCAATTCTCCTGCCTCAGCCTCCCGGGTAGCTGGGACTACAGGTGTGCACCACCATGCTCAGCTCATTGTTTGTATTTTTAGTAGAGACAGGGTTTCACCATATTGGCGAGGCTGGTCTCAAACTCCTGACCTCAAATAATCCACCCACCTTGGCCTCCCAAAGTCCTGGGATTACAGGTGTGAGCCATCAGGCTTGGCCGAATTCAGTAGTTTTAATGTATTCATGAGGTTGTGAAGCCACCACCCCAAAAAGAAACAGCATACCCATTAAGTAGTCATTCCCCATCCCCCTTCCCTCGCCCTTGACCTCCATTATCCATCTCTATGAATTTGCCTATTCTGGATATTTCATATAAATGGAGCCATACAATATTGACCTTTTATGTCTATCTTTTTTCACTTAGCAAAATGTTTTTAAAGTTCACCCATGTTGTACCACATATCAGTACTTCATTCCCTTTTACAGCTGAATAATATTCCATTACATGGATATACCACTATTTGTTTACCCATTCATCAGCTGATGAACATTTGGGTTGTTACCACTTTTCAGCTGTTTTGAATAGTGCTGCTTTGAGCATGTATGTTGAGTTATGTTATTATTTCTCTTGTGTACGTACCTAGGAATGGAATTACTGGGTCATATGGTAACTGCCTTTTGAGAAACTGCCAAACTGTTTTCAAAAGTGACTGTATTATTTTACATTCCTGCCAGCAATGTATCAAGGTTCTATTTTTTCCACATCATCCTAATGGGTGTGAAGTGGTATCTCATTGTAAGGCAATTCGTATTTCCCCAATGACTAGTATGTTGAGCGTACTTTCATGTGCTTACTGGCCATTTGTATATGTTTTGTGGAGAAATTATGTGATTGTGATTTGCATATCCACTGATATTTCTGACCCTTGTTAACTCCTTTAAGAATATGGTAGCCAGCAGGTGCGGTGGCTCACACTTGTAATCCAGCACTTCGGGAAGCCGAGGCAGGAGGATCATGAGGTCAGGAGTTCAAGACCAGCATGGCCAACATGGTGAAACCTTGTCTCTAGTAAAAATACAAAAATTAGCCAGGTGTGGTGGTGGGCGCCTGTAATCTCAGCTACTTGGGAGGCTGAGGCAGAAGAATTGCTTGAACCTGGGAGGTGGTGGTTATAGTGAGCTGAGATTGTGCCACTGCACTCCAGCCTGGGTGACAGAGCGAGACTCCATCTGGGGAAAAAAGAAAAAAAAAAGAATATGGTAGCCAATGAACATGAGTAGGTGGTGGCTCCCTTTTATTGATTAACCAGAAAGGCAGCTCTCACTGAGGGCTCCACGATGACCCTGCTTCACTCTGTACACTCTTGGCTCTGCCTGAAACATGTTGTACCATGAAGACCTTGTTTCCTGTCTAGAGCATGAAGATTCAGTAAGTCTTTTCATGTGGCAGTTTCTAAATAAACAAGGGCAAAACAGCATAGCAAATCTGGGTAAGAGGCTTTTTACCAAATTATCAAGTGTTTTTCTTTTTTAAAAGAAAAAAAAAACCAAGATGATTTTTCTTCCTCCAGAGAAGCATGGACTGGCAGCCTACTGAGTAAATTTTCTATATTGTAGTCAGTCTTGTGAGAGCCTGAGTTGAGTCTCAGAAAAGTAGCTTGCTTGAGACTGAGGCTGGCTGTGAAGAACAGGTTTGCAATTCCTGAAAACTGGAGCTAAAAGTAACAGCTGCTTAATAGAGTGAGACGAGGGAAAATTATGGGTCAGGAGGTAAGCTCTGAAAGAAATTTGCTTCATATGATGATGAAAAGAAGCCCTGTGGCACTTCTCTGGAAGTATCTAGAGAAGCTTTCTGGTTTTGAGTAACTGCAAAGCCAAGGGATCTTCCACAGAGGAGGTTAATATAGGAATCAAGTCATTATCAACAGAGATTCCTAATCAGGTAAGACTGGTTGGCTCCAAGAAGCACTGTAATGCAAATATAAAGAAGTAGGGGTGGAGGAAGGTTCCAATCCTGAGGCAGCAGTTCCCCTAGGGGCAGCTGGTGTCCCGGCAGGACTCCTCAGTGATGAGTGTCCAGTGATGGCTTATCTCACTCAATCAAACTTTAAATACAGTCAAGTATACATCAAATAACAGAAACTTAGAACTTTTATCTATGTACTTTTTTTTTTTTTTGAGACAGAATCTTGCTGTGTCGCCCAAGCTGGAGTGCAGTGGCATGATCTCGGTTCACTGCAGCCTCCGCCTCCTGGGTTCAAGCGATTTTCCTGCCTCAGCCTCCTGAGTAGCTGGGATTATCAGCATGTGCCACCATGCCTGGCTAATTTTTGTGTTTTAAGTAGGGACAGGGTTTCACCATGTTGGCTAGGCTGGTCTCAAACTCCTGACCTCAAGTGATCTGCTCACCTCGGCCTTCCCGAGTGCTGGGGTTACAGGCATGAGCCACCGCACTCAGCTTTTATTTACAATCTTAAACACCATAGTGCTCATTAAGAAGAAGAAGAAGAAAAAAGCCAAGTCTCTTCCTAAAATGCCTTCAGGACACTGAAGGGAAAAAGACGGGAATGATTTCATAACAACATAGGAGACTTTGTTGATCCAGTTCATAAAGACATAGGATGCTTTGGCCAGAGAGACATGAAGATGATTTCTTTCAAAAAATAAGTAGTTCACACATTTATTCAACAGATACTTCCTGAGCTCCTACTATGTGCCAGGCACTGCTCTACCAGTTAGGGATGTTCTGGTGAATAGCCCCACCCCCATGGAGCTCAGATTACACTGGGAGAAAAATAAGAAACCCAAAAAATAAATATAGACATCAGCAGGGATAATGCAATAAAGAAATGCAGGGTAAGGAAACAGTGAACCGGGACAGAAAATTCTTTTTAAATGAGGTGGTGATGAAAGGGCTCTCAGAGACTCAATGAAGTGAGGAAGCCAACCAGGTGAAGGTCTGAGGGAAGGCCTGCTGGGCAGAAAGAAGGGCAAATGCAAGGCCCTGCAGCTGCTTGGGCTTGGGGTGTTCAGATCAGTGCTGACGGAGGGAAGGAAGCTGTGGTAAGAGCGAGGCACGGGGAGATGAAGGGTCTAGACCAGGGGTATCCAATCTTTTGGCTTCCCTGGGCCACACTGGAAGAACTGTGTCTTGGGCCACACACAAAAAAACTAATGATAGCTGATGAGCTAAAAATAAATAAATAAATAAATACACAAATCACAAAAAAATCTCATAATGTTTTAAGAAAATGTATGAATTTTTGTTGGGCCACATTCAAAGCCATCCTGGGCTGCATGCAGCCCACAGGCCATGGGTTGGACAAGCTTGGTCTAGACCATACAGGGCCTCTGAGCCATGGAGAGGAGTTTCCATTTCATTCTGAATGTGGTGTGAAGCCACTGTAGGATTCTGGGCAGGGGAATATGAAATTTGATTATATGTGTTAAAAACACTGTTCTACATTTACATAAATAAGTGGCTGAGTAATTTAATACATGGGGAAGAACAGACAAATTTCCCATACAGAAGAATTCCAAATAAGGTATGGACATACTCTGCCCTCAAGGAGGTGAAGCCTAACTCCCCATTCCTTAAGAGAAGCCTGTGCATAGTGACTTCCTTCCGAAGAGTCTGTGTGGAAAGGAAAAGGAATAACTTTATGTTGGAGAAACCTGACGAACACTGCCACAGCCAGGTGATCAAGGTCAGCATCAACAGTGACAACTCATGTTGATAGTAGGTACCTCTTGATACGCCATGATGAAAATGGCACTTTACCTTTTCCTTTCCCAAACCCATAACCCCAGTTCTAATCAAGAGATAAACATCGGACAAATTACAGTTATTAGACAGTCTATATCTGACTAGTACTCCTAAAAATTGTCATGGTCATCAAAAACAAGGAAAGTCAGAGAAACTGTCACAGCTAAGAGGAGCCTAAGATGACATGACAACTAAATGTAATGTATCCTGGATGGAACAGAAGAAGGACATTAGGTAAAAACTTAGAAAATATGAATAAAGTATGGACTTTAGTTAATAATAATGTATCAATATTGCTTCACTAATTGCAATGAATGTACCATACTAATTCAAGATGTTAATAACAGGGGAAACTTGGCTGGGTTGCTCACTCCTGTAATCCCAGCACTCTGGGAGACAGAGGTGGGAGGTCATTTGAGGCCAGGAGTTCGAGACCAGCCTGGTCAACACGGCAAAACCCCTACTCTACAAAAAATACAAAAAAAATTAACCAGGCTTGGTGGCGCGTGCCTGTAGTCCCAGCTACTAGGGGGCTGAGGTGGGAGGATTGCTTAAGCCTGGGAGGTTGAGGCTGCAGTGAGCTGAGATCACACCACTGCACTCCAGTCTGAGTGACAGAGTGAGACCCCGTCTCAAAATAATAATAGGGGAAACTGGGTGTAGATTATAGAGAACTCTCTGTACTATCTTTGAAATTTTTCTGTAAATCTAAAACTTTTAAAATAAGGTTTAAAAAATAAACATTGCTTTGGCTACTCGGTGGAGAATTTAGTGTAGTAGGAGAGGAATGAAAGTAGGGAGACGAATTAGTAATCCTAGCTTTGCTACTTTCTGGCTGTGCCACATTGAGTTATTTTACTATACCTTTATTTTCTTGTCTATAAAATGGGAATATTTAGTGAAAGTGATGTGGAGAGGATTTAATGATATAATGTAGGAGGCAGCACAATGCTCTACAAATGCTGATAATTATAACTCAAAATAAAATTGTATCTAATAAACTTATTATACACCTCTTATGTGTAAATCCAGCAAGTAGCAAAGGCAGAACTCTTAAACTGAAGATAAACACTGCAAAGCTTACTCATAAGGAGGACACATGGTTCTGGGGTTTAATAAAATTCTAGAATCTTGGTAGTCAAAGCATTATGTTCACACCACTAAAACTCAAGGAAGTTCCCAGGTCCAGTGAGCAACTCGGGGGTTGTAGCATCTAGAGCAAAAGATGCCCAGAAAAAAAACTAAAGCTGAAGGCCTCTTAATTGATCTCTACTTAGTGAGCATAGCAGGTATACTGGAAGGGTCTCGGCTTCCTGTGGAAAACACAGCTTGCGTGCTTAACAAGACTCGTCTGTTCCTCACTGGAACAAATGCACTTGCAATTATGTCATCTAATTAAATAACAAATAAACCAGTGAGATACGAGGATGAAAAGAGGGTTTCTATTTCTAGGAAAACCAAGTTGAATGAGTTGGAGACTCCATAGAGATGGGCTTCTAGAATAAAATGGCACTGACTTAGCTGAAGGTAAGACAGCTGTAAAGATTTGGAAAAATTATAAAGAGAAATTTTGTACTCTTGCATCGTAAGTTAGTAAGTTCTCATTTCATTGTAAAGGACTGAAAAAGGAAGCTGAACTTGCAACATGTGAGAACATTTTGTGCAAAGGAGACAACCTGGAGCTCCAGAGGACCTACACTCAGTGAATGGGCTTGGTCCTACATCCAAATATACATGAGGACATGCAGAGAAATGTTCAAGTATATAGGTATCATTTTTGTGGTTCCCTATTTTAACTTATTTAAAAATGTAGTAACAGTATTTTTAACATAGGCAAAAGGAGAGAAAATAATGTATTTCCATATACTCAAACTAGGTTAAACAGTTACAAAGATTTTTGACACATTTGCTTCATCTATCCCATATTTTATTTCTCTCTCAAGTATTTTAATGCAAATTCTTGAAAACAATCACCCCTACAGACGTCAGCAGACATCTGCAGAAATATTTTAAGCCAGCTTTTGATTGCTGACCAACCTGTGGTACAGGTAACAGGACTCCTACTGGGTACCAAGTCATTCACCTACAGGCCTACCTTTCCCCTCTCTTTGCTTCAACCCAGAAGACCTCAAGGCAAATAAACTGATTCCTGGATCCTGAGTGGTTCCTGGTTCACGTGGAAGGACATCTCTGAAGCTTCAACTCAGTGATTTACTTCCCCAAACCTATTCCTTTCATCCTTACAATGAAACCACCTGTGTAACAACCCGATTCTTTGAACGTTTTCTGGGAGTCCAGAGCAAGCCGAAACTTTCAGTGAACATCCTAAGGCAATCTGTATTGAACCAGGTTCACTCCAAAAACCCAGTTGGGGCCATTTCTCAAGGAGCTCAGAACAACCCGAGGAATGGATTCATGGGCTGTCCTAAAGTAGCCTTACTCACAGGTATCAGAGAATTCACTTGCTTCTAGGCCCTTGGATTGCTTTAATTCTTTCAATTTTCTTTTGTTCAACAACATAAAAAATATATTCTACTTATTGCAATTTTTACATGTCACATTCTGAATATTATCCTGTACCAGTGGCTTCTTGGTTGTTATATAACTTGTTTGGTAAAGTTATGCTGACAGCTTTAATGAGGCGATGTCATGTGATGCACGAATTTCCCCTGGTGCTGAATGTGGACATTAGCAACTCAGTATCGTGTGTTAGGGCAGTGGAGAATCAGGGTGTATCTAATAAATTCCTTCATGGAGCTCTCATGCCATTAAGCAGAATTTGCTCTTTCAAGAAGTTTCTTGATCACCTCTGAAGTAATAAACAAAACACTTAACAGGGTCTTAACAAAAACTTACAAACTGAAAAGTTCCAAATCTGTATCAAATTCAAAGCCAGGGTTGTTTTCAATCAGGGAAACCTGAATCCTAAGGAAGAACCAGAAATTTTTTTTTTCAAAGACACTCAGGCATCATAGGCATTCCTAAGTTGTGAAATGAAAAGAAGGTTTCCTAGAAAGTTAGGATAGAGATGGTATTTAATCTGCATTCTGGCTAGGAAGATGATGACATGCACCTTTTCAACTTTTCCCTAAACAGATTTTTTTTTTCCTCTTAACTTATTCCAGACCAAACAGGTTTCAAAAAACAAGAAAACTTCAGGGTTCAGATTTTTGAACTTTTAATAAGCCCAGAGATTTGGCTCATATTTGGCAAGTTCGCCTAAAGTGTCAACAACATCTAGTCTTTTCTAGTTCAACGTTGAGCTAATTAGGGCCTAATAAAGTGCAAAACATGGCCTGAAAGAGTAAAGTACTGGTCCTTTGCCAAGAGGCAGATTACAGAGAGGAATCTGATAGATTAACAGAGAAACTAAAATTATTGCCTTGTGCACTCTATCCAAAACTAATGGTTTTCAACTAAGGGTCACATCTAACATGGCAGGTGACTCTGGCTTATCCCTAGTCCAGAAACGTTTCTCTTGGTCAGTGGTTATCAAACTTGGCCATGCACTCCAGTCACCTAGAGGGATTTTTAAACCCCCAGTGCTCAGGTTGTATCATCCAAGACCAATTAAATTGATGTCTGGAACTGGGCTTAGGCAGCAGTAGTTTCAAAAACTTCTCGGGTGATTTCAATGTGCATCCAAGGTCGATGCGCTGCTCTAAGAATCAGAGTTCTTGTCAAAACAGACAGAACTGGGTCATTGTAGAACAACTCCTGCACATTTTTGTTGTTTTAAGAAAAAAACCAATTTACTTAGCACCAAATACCAAAAACATTGGTTATGTAAGTAAAAAACACTGGTAGTGTATATCTGACTGTAAGAATGGAAAGTGATCCCAGAAGGGTATTTAAAGGGTACCACATTCACAACTAAAGTCACATAACCCTGTGTTTGAATCTCAAATCTAGCTGAGGAACCTTGGGCAAGATGATTTAACCTTGTTCTGCCTCGGTTTCCTTTTTTGTAAAGTCACATTGGGAATCAACTATCCTTCAGAGTTGCTGTTAGAACCAGAGGTAATAGTTCTAAAATATCCAGCACAGGGTTATAAATACAGATGGCTCTCGAAATGGTAGCTGTTATTTCTCATTCTGTTATTAGGTCAAAGCAGTCAGGCAGGGTAACATCTGGAGGAAAAAGACTTCTCAAATGCCACAAACATATAAGCTGAATGAGTTTAGGAGACAAAAGGTGAGAGATCATCTAAAAATTAAACAATAATCAAAGACCTAACAATGAATGCAACTGTTAGGTTGAATGGATGGAGGCGTTAAGGCCAGAGCAATGAAAGGCAAAAAAGGGATCAGAGGATCATATTATAAAAGTTAAAGCTCTGTATTTAAGAATGAAGGCTCCAGACTGGGATCCATTTACTATTACATGCAAATAAGGTGTTGAGGTCCCTTTAGTCCTTGGAAGGACAAGGTGCCTCTAACTTCCTGTCACAGGAGCATTCTCTCAGGTTCAGGTGGACTCACAGAGCTCCATCATCTTAATGAGAGGAGACACATCTGAAAAATACAGGATAATAAATAAGACCCCTTTGAGTCAAACTGGGCAAATGTTATAAAACCAAGGGATGCCGACACAGTCAGCAAACGGTAATCCAGTAGCATGCATTTCTGGAGCCTCCTAAAAAGAGCTCGGAGACTCCTATCTGTATGAATGTGGCAAGATGAGTTCCAAAGAGATGCACCTGGTATCAGCTAGGCTTTCTTTATATTCCAGGGGCAGCCTGCCCATCACCTAAGCTGCCCTAGACTACCCAGAGGGCTGTGGATTGTCACCCTCTCTCAAAAATCCAATCTGCTGTTGAAGGCAGTGATTCCCAAGCTCACCGTAAATCAGAAGGCTGGGAGTTTTCTTTTTTCCAATAAAAATGGATGGGCCCTAAATCCAGAGATTCTGATTCAGAAGGTCTGAGGCAAAGCCAAGGATCTATATATTTTTAAAATACTTCATACATGATTACAACATGTAGGGAGGTTTGGAGCCATTACATGTGTGCGAAACATCATAGGAGACTGTCGATCTTTAATTATAATGGGCCATGAGGGTATTTCTGAATGCTGCATGCCTGGAGCAGCTGACAAGGAGATGGGGGCTGTGCAGCCTGGGATCTGAAAGAAAGCTGCTCAGAAATATTTTAAGTGTGAGGTAGCATGACAATGGGTGATAGTTTCCCCTTTCTTTCACCTTTCTTCCAAGTTTTCCATAATGAATTTTAAATTTTTTTATAAGGGAAAAAAAACCCTTAAAGGTAAACAAAACATCTGATTACATCTTGGTGACGTTTGTGATGACACTTTAAGAATTTGCTATTACGACTACAATTTACCACACATTATAGTTTTGTTTTTAAAAAAGGAATTTAGGACCGGGCGCGGTGGCTCACACCTGTAATCCCAGCACTTTGGGAGGCTGAGGCAGGTGGATCACCTGACGTCAGGAGTTCAAGACCAGCCTGGCCAACATGGTGAAACCCTGTCTCTATTAAAAACATACAAAAAATTAGCCGGGTGTGGTGGCAGGTGCCTGTAATCCCAGCTACTTGGGAGGAAGCTGAGGCAGGAGAATTTCTTGAACCTGGGAGGAGGAGGTTGCAGTAAGCCGAGATTGGGCCACTGCACTCCAGCCTGGGCAACAGAGTGAGACTCCATCTCAAAAAAAAAAAAAAAAAGAAATGTAGGCACTTCAGGAAAACAAATTCTCTCTCCTGGCTCATATAAGCAACGTGAAATGTCTTTCTTCAAAGGTCAGCCCACAGAGGTTTCTGCAGCCCCGCTCCCCATCTAGGGAGAAGTTATGGCACGGACGCTGAAGCATGCTACAGGGCGCACTGCTGGCTGCTCAAATTATTTAACAATGTGGAAGAAGGTCTTTGAAAAAAATCAATACAAACCTATCTGGCAGGTTATAAATAAATTCTTTCGAGCACTACACCCACTTTATGCAAAGCACTTGTATCAATGTGAGATTAGAGGATTAGGAGTTTCTGTATAACAGAACTCTAGTCAAGAAGAATCCTTCCTGAGTGGCTCAATAGTTATAAGATAACTACACTCTGCAAAATAAACCCAAGATGAAAGGGCCCAAACATATCAGTATTCATTCTAACAACGATCATTTCCAGAAGAATTAAAGAATTGGCATCAGAAACTATCAGGTGTAAAGAGACTTATCTTGTTTGCAGTAAGGGAGTACTGAAATCTTTTCAAGGTCAAATGGCTTTGGAGCTTTTATTGACAACATTTTAAAAGTACTATGTAAACTCAGTAAGACTATATAACGGCATAAAATATACTTAATTTTTAAAATCCAACCATAGCACGGCCCATCTCAACAAGTTTATTTATACATTTTAATGTCTAAAATACCTAGAGCAGTTGTGACTGACTGAGGGCATGTCTGAGGTTTAACTAACCAAATAGCACTTTTCTGTTTCTTTCTCAGGCTTTTTCTTCTATTCTGTTCCATTTCACTAACTAACCTTTAGAGTTGTAATGTTAGAGTCAGATACGTGAGCTGACATTAGATTTTCAAGGAAAGGATTTTGAAATCTAAACAAACTCAAAGGGATAAGTTACTTTTTGGGGGAGAAACAAAGCAAGAATTCCCATTTGCAGCTTTCGTAACTCTATTTCCCTATGAAGATAAAACATAAATTGGTACGCATTTCCAAAATGGACGTACTGGTTTGTTTAATATGGTCCTGCATGAGCCCGCCTGTCTGACTTCATTCCAGCATTGTTCTCTGCATTCTAGCCACAATGTCAACTTTCAGGTCATGCGACCTCCAGCCTCAGGGCCTTTACATATGCTGAAATACCCCGCTGGGCATACACTTCATTCTCTTTACCTGGTTAATGCTTGGACACTCTGTTGTTTTGGCTTCAGCTCATTCCTCCTTCCATCTCACTCTTTGCATCTAGGTTTAATTCCTTATCTCCCGAATTATAACCTCCGGTAGTTAAATCTTAGTAGTTAGGAGACAGGACAGTATCCCTGTCCCAGCTTGGCCACTTAGCACACCATGTGACCCTGGGTAGTTTTTTTTTTTTTTTTTTAATCTCTCTGAAGCTTAGTTTCCTCAACAAGAACGTTTTGAATAATAAACTAGCTAATACATGCAAAGCACTTAGAATAATGACTGGCACAAAGTAAATATTCAATAAATACTAGCTATTAGTATTACTCTTTTAGGATGAATCTTACTGTGACCTCTCTGTCCTTGTGAGAAAGGGTCTTTATTTCTCCTTTTGACAGTTCATCTAGTTCCTTTTGGTATACTATTCAACCGTCTGTTTTTATAAGGAAAATTCTTAAGGTTTTTTCACAAACACTGGTAACATTGGATGTAATCGACTGTTTTATTTAATTTTTGAGACAGGGTCTTGCTGTGTTGCCCAGCCTGGAGTGTAGTGGCATGATCACAGTTCACTGCAACCTTGAACTTCTGGGCTCAAGCAATTCTCCCACGTCAGCCTCCCAAGCAGCTGTGACTACAGGCACATGCCACCACACCTGGCTATTTTTGTTTTTTTTTTCTAACTTTTCATCTTTTAGTAGAGACGAGGTCTCACTATGTTGCTGAGACTGGTCTTGAACTCCTGGGCTCAAGCAATCTGCCCACCTTGGCCTCCCAAAGTGCTGGGATTACAGGTGTGAGCCACTGTATCTGGCTTTGTTTTTAAAGGGATTTTTTTTTTCCTTTATAAATTGTTGTATTGTTTCTGGGGAGAAATCTAGTAGTGAATCCCTTGTAGATAAAGTAACGTCTTATGTGTTTGCTTTCTGAGGATTCTATCTTTGTATTCTGTAGTTTCACTATGATATGTCTAGTTGTAGAATTATTTTTATTTATGTATCTGGGGACTCATTGCGATATATTCATCTGAGAATGAATGTCTTGAACACATTTTGGAAACTTAGCCATTAATTCTTCAAACATTTTTTAACCCTAATTCTATTTTCTTTTTTGGAATTCCAGTTACATGACTGTTGGTTCTCTATCTCCCATATCTGAAGACCTTGTTTCAGATTTTTCATCTTTCTGTGTTGTGTTTTGGAAAATTTTCTTAAATATATTTTCTAGTTCACTAATTCTCTATTCATGTGTCTAATCTGACATTTAACCCATCCACCAAGTTTTAAATTTCAATAACTTTTGTTTTAAAAATCTGTAATTTCTATGTGATTTGTTTTCAACTTTGTTCTTTTAAGACAGTATTTTGTCAGGTTTTTAATTCCTTCTTTTAGGTCTTTAGAAATCTTAAACATAGCTATTTTATAGCCAATAACTCTAATATCTAAAGCCATTGAGGGTCTCATTTTGCAAAGTCAGCACAGGGGTTCAAGTTTAGTTGGACTCTTTCAGTGGGAGCACTGTTAGGTCTCAATTGAGAATGTAAGCAGAAATTTATACTGTGCTGCTTCTACCAGGTGCCTTGGGGTTAGTTTTAATGTTAAAATTTCACCTTGGTGATTCTCAAACTATAACGTAATGTAAATGTACCCAAAGTAAGTATAGACAGGCCTAAGGTTTTGAATTTCCAGAGGAGACGACTTCTTCCACTGCAACAGGAGACCTATAAGCTTTCTTTTTCTGTGTGCTGGCAGCTAGTTATCTTTTTTTTTTTTTTTTTTTTTTGAGACAAGAGTCTTGCTCTGTTGCCCAGGCTGGAGTACAGTGGTGCGATCTCAGCTCACTGCAACCTCTGCCTCCTGGGCTCAAGTGATTCTCCTGCCTCAGTTTCCCAAGAAGCTGGGATTACAGGCGTATGCCACCACACCTGGCTAATTTTTTTTTGTATTTTTAGTAGAGACGGGGTTTCACCATGTTGCCCAGGCTGGTCTTGAACTCCTTACCTCAGGTGATCCACCCACCTCGGCCTCCCAAAGTCCTGGGATTACAGGAGTGAGCCACCATGCCCGGCCTAGTTATCTTTTATACAACATATTCACCAAGGGTATAATGCTTCAAGGGCCTACCTTAATGTGAGAACCTCATTTCCAACTCTTCACTTTGCACGTAACCGAGGTTTTGCCACACAAATTCCTGACAATTGACATTCAAGCACAGGGCAGGGGTGGCAGTAGTAGTGACAGCAACAGTAGCTCTTGGCCTGCTTTGGTTTTCAGTTACTTTTCAATTCCTAGGAAATTGAATTCTCTTCTACTTATTTTCAGATCCCAACTCAAGTAACACTTTCTCACAGAAGCTATCCCTTACTCTCCAGAATAGATCAGGCACCTGCTCTACACTTCCACAGCTCCCTGCATTTTTCCTCCACTGCACATAATAATTTGTAGTTATGTTTAGTAGTGTGATTATTTGTTTAATGTTTGTCTCTGTCACTACACTGTTAGTTCCATGAGGGCAGGAATCATTTGTCCACCATAGTATCCAATCTGGCACAGTACAGCAACAAAAGAAGTATTTGCTGAATGAATAAAATGAGTGTGTGTGGCTGGTTGGGGGTGGGTGAATATTAATGTGAACATAACTCCTCAAAGAAAGTAAAGAATTGAAAAAGGAGAAGGAAAAGAGAAAACATTTTATTATGAATATTTCAAAATTGCAGGAAACACACTGCAAATCCCTGGGGAGCCACTTCCTATTTCAATCAAACCCTTATTCAACATTCTTGGTTCCTTTTTGTTTTAATTGAGATATAATACTTAGATCTTAAGTATTCCATTGACGGGCGCGGTGGCTCACGCCTGTAATCCCAGCACTTTGGGAGGCCGAGGCAGGCGGATCATGAGGTCAGGAGATCGAGACCATCCTGGCTAACACGGTGAAACCCCATCTCTACTAAAAATACAAAAAATTAGCCGGGCGTGGTGGCGGGCACCTGTAGTCCCAGCTACTCAGGAGGCTGAGGCAGGAGAATGGTGTGAACCCAGGAGGCAGAGCTTGCAGTGAGCTGAGATCGTGCCACATTGCACTCCAACCTGGGCGACAGAGCAAGATTCCATCTCAAAAAAAAAAAAAAAAAAAAGTATTTCATTTAATCCGTTTTGACAAATGTACACTCCTGCAACCCACACCCCTATTGAAATGTGGAATATTTCTATCAAGTCAGAAAGTTTCCTCGTCTCTCTTCAATATTTCCATTTCTAGAAACAGCCTCTTATCTGATTATGATTAGGAGTTGATGATTAACTTATGGCAAAGGATAAGTTAGTTTGCCTATTCTAGAATTTCACATAGAAAAAAACAGTACGTACTTTTTTTGTCTGGCTTCTTTTACTACTCATAATATTTTTGATATTCACCAATGTCGTTGCATGTATCAATGTTATTCCTTTTTGTGTTGAGACAATTCTATTGTATGAATATAACACATCTTGTTTATCTATTCTGTTGATAACTACGTGGGCTATTCCAGCTATTATGAATTGAACTGCTATGAACATTCTTGTACAACGCTTTTTGTGAACATGTTTTCATTTCTCTTGGATAAATATCTAAGAGTAGAATTGCTGGGTCATAGTATAAATTTTGCTTCTTTAAGAAACTGCCAAATAGTTTTCCAAAGTAGCTGTATGATTTTATAGGCCCGCCAACAACAGGGTGAGATTTCTGGTTGCTCCACATCCTCTCCAACATTTGGTATCATCCAACTTTTTCATTGTAGCCATTCTGGTGGGTATACAGTGGTATCATTGGCATTTTCCTGATGATTAATGATATCAAGCACATTTTCATGTGCTTATTGGCCACTGGCATATCTTCTTTGTGGAATATCTGTTCAAGTCTTTTGCTCATTTTTTAAAAAAGGCTTGTCTTTTTATTGCTGAGGTGCAGGAATTCTTTATATATTCTGTCCTTTGTCAGACATGTTTTGCAAATATTTTCTTTCAGATAGTGGTTTGTCTGTTTTTCTTTTTCTTTTTTTTTTTTTTGACAGAGTCTCGCTCTGTCACCCAGGGTGGAGTACAGTGGCGTGATCTTGGCTCACTGCAAGCTCCACCTCCCAGGTTCATGCCATCCTCCTGCCTTAGCCTCCCAAGTAGCTGGGACTACAGGCGCACACTGCCACGCCCGGCTAATTTTTTGTATTTTTAGTAGATATGGGGTTTCACCGTGTTAGCCAGGATAGTCTCGATCTCCTGACCTTGTGACCCGCCTGCCTTGAATAGTATCTTCTAATGAGCAAAAGATTTTACATTTGATAGGGTCTAATTTATCAATTTTTAAAATGGTTTGTGATCCCTATAAACTCTAATGAATTTTTATTCTTCCTAAGAGAATGAAGAATTATTCTCCTATACTTTTAGTAGCTTTATGGTTTTAGCTTTTATGTTTAAGTTTATGATACATTTCAAATTGATTTATTTGTATGGTATGAGGCAGGGGTTGAGATTCTTTTCTTCCCTGTGTAGATATCCAGTTGTTCCAACAGCATTTGTTAAAAATAGAAAGAGTTTCCTTTTCTGACTGATTTGCTTCTTACCTTTGTTGAAAGTCATTTGACCTTACACATGAGTGTCTTTTATGGATACTCTATTCTGTTCCTTTGATTTATTTGTTCATCCTTTTGCCAGTATCTTACTTTCTTGATTACTATAGCTTTATAGTAAGTCTTAATGTCAAGTAGGATTAAGTCTGCCAACTTTGTTTTTCTTTTTCAAGACTGTTATGGTTATTCTAGGTCCTTTGGTTCTCCAAATACATTTTAAAAACAGTTTGCTAATTTCTATAAAAAAGCCTGTTGAGATTTGAATTGGTATTAAATCTATAGATCAATTTAGGAAAATCTGCCATCCTAACAATATTAAATCTTTTAATCCATCAATATGGCATACCTCTTCATTTATTTAGGTTTTCTTTAATTTCTTTTAGCAATGTTTTACAGTTTTCAGACTTGAACATCTTCCATTAAATTTATCCATAAGTATTTGGTATTTTTAATGCTACAGTAAATAGTATTTTTCTTTTTGTGAGACAGGGTCTTGCTCTGTTGCCCAGGCTGGAGTGCAGTGGAACAATCATGGCTCACTGCAGCCTTGACCTCCCCGGGCTCAACTAATCTTCCCACCTCAGCCTTCCCAGCATCTGGGACTACAGGTGCGTGCTACCACACCTGGCTAATTTTTGTATTTTTTATAGAGACAGCATTTCACTATGCTGCCAGAGGGTGGTCTCAAACTCCTGAGCTCAAGTGATCTGCCCGCCTCAGCCTCCCAAGGTGCTGGGATATACACTTTATATCTTGTAGCAATACTATAAAATTTACTTATCTGTTCTACTAGTGTTTTTTTAGATTTCTTAGGACTTCATATGCACAATCATGTCATCTTCAAATAAAGACTGCTTTACTTCTGTCTTTCCAATATTTATACCCCTTTCTTCTTGTCTTGTTGCATTAATTAGGTCCTCCAGTATAATTTAGAATAGAGGTGGTGAAAGTGGATATCTCTGAATTGTTCCCAATATTAGGGGGAAATATTTCAAAATTTAAACTGTAGGTGTGATCTTAACTGTAGGTTTTTGTAGGTGTTCTTTATCAGGGTGAGGAAGTTTCCTTCTACTCTTAGCATGTGGAAAAGTGGAAAGTGTCCCCGAGGTACCTGTTCTCCTAAATTTCATGTCTACTATTCCCTTTCCATTTGCATATTAAAGTAATGCTAATTTCTGCTACTCTCCTGGGATCCTCCATTAACTTACCACGTTTCCTGCTTCTGCAGCCAGCCGGGCAGCATAGCGAGCTATAAGACGGTGTTCCTCATCCAGTCGGCTAGGACTGTCCAGAACACTGCCAAGGAAATAAAAATGCAACAAGTGTCTATTAAACATCCCTTATTCTTGTTCCATTCTCAGAAAGAACAGATGGAAGAAAAGCTCATAAAAGAATGGTAATAAAAGAACTAGAGGCCTGGGTCATAGATACTAATGGTCTTCTGAAAAAAAGGGGATTTAGAGAAATGAGGAGGCCACATTTGTCATTCCTCACTGGCAGCACATCCCCGCTGCTCCTCCACCATCAAAGGGGCACTTCATTTTGAATGCAAGGCCTGAGAAAACACAGGGCACCCACAAAGTCTGAGGCAGGGATTTCTAACCAAATGTTTAAAACTGATGACTTTTTAGACCTTGATCTCAAATTCAAAAAGACCAAGAGAAAACTAAAGCATCATGAAAAACAGAGGGCTGAGAAAAAATATACTTAACACTGGCTAAGCAAAAGTTTGGCCTTGCCAGGGCAGGCCAAACACACTGTAAAGCTGGAAAGATTCCATGACATCAAATATTCCCCTTTTCATGCCCCTTTCTCTTCCTTTACTATGCTCATTCTACATCTATAGCCCCATCTTGGAGTTAATTAGTTTAATGCATTACTTTTCAACAAGAGTACCAATACTCTAAAAATCTAAGGACCCATTCAGACAGGCTATCAGACAATGTGGTATCTGGATGAGGGAAGGGTTCTTGAGTAATAGGCTGGCTCTGCATATGGGATGCTGATATGGAACTTCTGATTCTGAAATACATGACTTCTTTAGTATACCAAATGCTATTTATCCTTATCAAGACAGTCCTAGATTAATAGGGACTGTGGCTATATAATTCTCTGTTTAGGACTGGCAGATGCTTTAAGACGACAGTGATGATGTTGACTAAATGACCAGAGGTGGCTGTTGTGGCTTACCTCCACTTTGGCCCTATGTTCTTGGGTTTCCAAAAACCCTTGATCAGAGTTTGGCAGTATGACAAGTCATACAGAAAAATTTAAAGACATGACTTCAATACTCATCGAAGTTTGTTATAATTACTGAGGGGAATCTGGGAAGGGTGTGGCTAAATCAATAAAGACCTGTCTGAACTTTTCATGTGTAGAATCAACTATATTTTTTCTAGTTTTTTTTTTTTTAATCTTTCTATCTCTTTGGCTAAGTCTTTAAGCTTAACTTAGTCTTTCTTCTGGGATTTTTTTTTAAGTGCTTCGAGTCTTCGCCTATGACATTTGTCAACACTTTATAATTTTAAGCATGCAAATATCCATCTTCAGGATGATCACCCTCTCAAAAATGATCTTGTAATAAGAACAGACTACTATTAGGCGGCTTTAATATTTTAGGGTCAAGGCCCCAAGGTGAGAGATAAACTATAATATTTGTGCTTTAAAGGTATTTGTCTGAAATAAGAGAACTATCTTTTAAATTAAAAAAAAAACAATAAAAATGAATGCTTAACGATACAAGTGGATCATATTATGGAGGGATTGGTAGCCGAAGAAGTGGGGCCTAAAGTGGCTGACCTCTGTTATCTGGCAAGGGATACAATAGGTTCTTCTGTGCAAAAGAGCTCCTTTTTCTCAATCACATTCTATCTCCTTAGGAAGGTTGATCCTATTTGTCATTTATACATGAGTGTGGATGACAGACTGCTTTAATTGGCTATGTTTTCTAGCCAGAAACTAGAAGCTTGTGTTGATGAGAGGTTTTAAGGTCAATGATTAGAAAGGATCCTTATTCTTCTGTTTGAATTGACTTTCATTTTCAGAATTAGTTAGCCAGAAAAGTTCTGACTTCTCGGAAGAAGTATGAAGCTCAGCTTCTTAGATTACTAATCAAGAAGTCATGTAGTACTCACTCACTCATCATGTTCTCCCAGGGCTACCAGCCACCAATTTTTGTTCAGGGAGCCAAGGTGAGACTTCAGGGCCTTAGCTAAACCTACCATAAATCTTATTGGGCTAAATTACTAGGTAACAGTCTCTTGTCAAACATTCTGCTGCTATTTTTACCATGGAAACTTTTGCTCACTCTGGACAATTGCCTTTAGTGATAATAAAGAATTTGTCTTGCCTAGGGTGAAACAACTCTGTTCCTAGAGACCAAGAGGCTGGGACAGTGTGCAAAGAAATCATCTGTTGGATGAGGAGACACTCTGTGATGCAGTGCACACAATTATCAGGCCCTTCCTTCCCTCCTAGAGGGTAAGCCTATTAAACATATTTAGAAGCTTAGAAAACCCTACTTCTCAGCCGGGCGTAGTGGCTCATGCCTGTAATCCCAGCACTTTGGGAGGCTGAGGCCGGCGGATCACGAGGTCAGGAGATCGGGACCATCCTGGCTAACACAGTGAGACCCCGTCTCTACTAAAAATATACAAAAAAATTAGCTGGGTGTGGTGATGAGCGCCTGTGGTCCCAGCTACTCGGGAGGTTGAGGCAGGAGAATGGCATGAAGCCGGGAGGCAGAGCTTGCAGTGAGCTGAGATGGCACCACTGCGCTCCAACCTGGACGACACAGTGAGACTCTGTCTCAAAAAAAAAAAAAAAGAAAAGAAAACTCTACTTCTCCAAGCTTTAGAGATACATAAATACCCCAGAATAGTGATGCTATTTAGTCATATCAGGAAAACTATGGAAAACGGTATAAAGTATAATATTTAAAAGTCTTTTTCATATGTATATTTCCCAACTGACTATTAATTTATTCTTCTGTTATTAGGGGAAGTAGCAGCAAGGTCAGATGACCCTCCCAAGGAGCCATGGCATGCTATAAGCAAAACTAAGATCAAAATTTAAAGCTTCAGCCTCTGTTATGTGTACAGCTTATAAATTATGGTTTTCTCTCTAAGAACAAGAATCTCAAAGCATGGCTTTCCAAGTTGTTTGGCACTGTGATTCTTCTTTGCTGTTATGTAGGGGAAGGATGGCTTTAGATTGCTTAAACTTTACCTGTCATCCTACTTGAAGAATGGTGGTGGGTGTGGGCATGGAGTGAGCAGGAGACTTTGGACCTACCTGAAAGTAATACCACTTTTTTCGGTATTAAATCTTTTAAAAAAAGGATTAACTTTGCTATAGTTAGCAGTTATCAAACGTTTTTCCATCCCAAACCACTGAAGAATCAGACACATTCTCTTATTAACAGTGAGTCACTACCGCAGTAGTTTTCAGGGTAAGGGGAATGTGGAGCTATTATAATACATGTAACTATTATAATATGAGAGGGTCTACATAATTTGGAAAAAGACCCTCAGGTGACAGTGACCCAATACCATTGTTGGGAATCACCGGTTTAAATAATCAACACTGACAGATTCCTGCTAACAGATAAAGGGTGGTAAAGATGTAATAGGGTGACAGTATCAAAGTCCCCAGATAAGACAAAGTGGGATATCTGTGGGTTGATCAACTCTAAACTTGGAATGTCAATAGAAAGATTTCATTAGTTAGGTAAGAATGAACAGGAAGAGGTTGCATCAGATACCTCTGTGAGTACTGCGATCCCTCATAGGTTTATATATTTTTTGAGTGTAAGCTGAAGGAAGTGAACCCCACTTTAAAGGAGAATGTCTGACTCCATGTTTAGGTCAGCGCCCAGGCTTGGCAAGCCTCCCTCTCTTGTAGAAGCTAATGCTTAGCAACTATTTTAACTCTGCCAAACATAGCTGGTAGCTGCTCAAGAAAAACCTGACATGCAGTTTTTTTTCCAGCTGACAACCCCAGGTAGCAAAGCTCTCCCTCCCTCTGATCACCCGTGGCTACCCACTGCTGCTGCACCACCACTGACCGTGCACAGTGCTGCAGACGGGCCACATAGGAGGCTATCAGCGCATGCTCATCGGCCAAGTGACTGGGTATATCCTGGCTATACTGTAACCTAGGAACAATGGAGGCAAAGACAGCAAGCGTGACACAAACACATACAGAGGGAGAAATGAACATGGATTAAAATGAGCAAACTTCAAAGAAAAATTTAAAAAATAATAAATCATGATAAGGAAAACAATAAAAAACCCACAATGCATAATGGAATATGGTGTTAGATCCTCAGGAATCCATCTCTCAAATCCTTTAAACAAAAGCAGTCCTTCAGGAGTGGCGCTGGCCCACTGACATGACAGCCCTTGGGAAGAACCTGTTGAGTCGGCAGGGGAGCCGCATGTACCACTTTTGTTCGGGTGCTGCGCTCTGTGATGATGCACTTTTTAGAAGATGCCTTCTGGCAAGACAACTGAGGCACAGCCAATCTACTAAATATCACTACATGACCCCCTAGCGCTATGCTTTTATAAGCTTTTGTGTACATCTAAGAATTTTCAGTGTTACTTCATGTTGCCAGTTAAACATTTTTATTTCTATAAGGATACTGCCTTTAGCATCAGTCTATTTCTCCCATAAAACTGGTACCCATCCCAAACTCATTAGAACTGCGCCTAATTATAAGGCAACACTATATACTCTGAGTGAGGCTCTCTCTTATAGATACATGAAAGGTCCTTAAGCACATGGTCTTCTAACTTTTTACTACAGAAATATTAAAACTTGCATAAAATAGAGTAATCTAATGACTACCCCTCAGGTACCCATAGCAAAACTTGAATGAATGTCAACATTTTGTCAATGTTATCTAATCGAATTTTCATTCCTCCAACATTTTGTGCAGGGACGAGTGGCTAAAAGCAAACCCCAGGCAATTATTTCACCTGGGAATACTTGAGCCTGTACATCTATCAGATAGTAAAAACATTTCACACAACCTAACACCATTATCACACCTAAAAACACAGACAAAAATATTTTAGTATCCCAGTCCATCTGCCAATTTCCTCAAATCTTAAAAAATGTCCATTTACAATTAAAGTCAAGATCCAAACAAAGTCCCCACTTTGCAAATGGCTGGTAGGTTTCTTTTATGTTTGTATGTGACTGATACATTTCTGGGTTTTTTTTTGTTTTTGTTTTTTTGTTTTTTTGAGACAGAGTCTCGCTTTGTCTCCCAGGCTAGAGTGCAATGGCATGATCTCGGGTCACTGCAACCTCTGCCTCCTGGGTTCAAGCGATTCTCCTGTCTCAGCCTCCCAAGTAGCTGGGATTACAGGCGTGCACCACCAGCTAATTTTTGTATTTTTAGTAGAGACGGGTTTTCGCCTCTGTTGGCCAGGCTGGTCTTGAACTCCTGACCTCAAGTGATCTCCCTGCCTCAGCTTCTCAAAGTGCTGGGATTACAGGTGTGAGCCACTGCGCCCGGCCCCAGTCACCTTTCTGAAGCTCAAACTCTCCTACCTTTGGCCAGTGGGAGCTCCTGTAATAGGCTCTTGTGTTCTTTTGATATAACCATTAGACCTTATTAGCTTTCCTGCTTTCTAGCACAATAAAATGCTCTAGTTTTTTTTCTTTTTTTTCTTTTTTTGAGACGGAGTATCACTCTGTCACCCAGGCTGGAGTGCAGTGGTGCAATCTCAGCTCACTGAAACCTCCGCCTCCCAAGTTCAAGTGATTCTCCTGCCTCAGTCTCCTGTGTAGCTGGGATTATAGGCGTGCGCCACCACGCCCAGCTAATTTTTGTATTTTTAGTAGAGACGGGGTTTCACCATGTTGGCCAGGATGGTCTCGAACTCCTGACCTCAGGTGATCCACCCACCTTGGCCTCCCAGTGTGCTGAGAATACAGGTGTGAGCCACTGTGCCTGGCCCTGTAGTTTTGTTTGTTATATATCCTGTCCCAGACTTGGAATGAACCATCCTTCTAAGGATCCCTCGTTCCGTTTACTGGCAAAGAGTATTTAGAGACTGCAGTCAGGATGCTAGGGTGCCCACTGTTCTAGGCTCACCGATTCTAGGCCTTCTCAGTGGAAAAAGCTAGAAAATCTGTATATTTTAGAATGAAGAAAAATAAGTCCTCTCAGTGCTTTCAAGGTACCGTTCCATTTTCTTCTGGCTTGCATTGCTTTTAATCCTTTTCCCATTTGTCCCGAGAATACTCACTGGCAGCGCTTGCAGATACAGCATTTACCCTGAGATAACTTTCCCATGAAATATCTCGCTTTTATTATTATTCTCTCATCACTCTAGTACACGGACTTTGGAAAGAAAAGACATCATTCTATTTATAGCATTCTATTCTTAGTAGTGGTATTTCCATTTACAAAATACTGTAATTCTTGATTGCTGAAAATGCCAAAGCTTAGAAAGCGTAGCATTCCTGTGCATGATGTTAATTATTATTATTATTTTTTGAGACAGAGTATTACTCTGTCACCAGGCTAGAGTGCAGTGGCGTGATCTCAGCTCACTGCAACCTCTGCCTCCCGGGTTCAAGCCATCCTCCTGCCTCAGCCTCCCAAGTAGCTGGAACTACAGGTGCACGCCACCATGCTCAGCTAATTTTTTGTATTTTTAGTAGAGATGAGGTTTCACCATGTTGGCCAGGATGGTCTCGATCTCTTGACCTTGTGATCCACCCACCTCTGCCTCCCAAAGTGCTGGGATTACAGGTGTGAGCCACCATGCCTGGCTGATGTTAATTATTAACATCGTTCTCAAACGGCTGGCTGAAGATTCATTTAATGAATCAATTTTTTCCGAAATAGATGATTCTGATGACTCAGATGATTCTGATGTTAGTTCTGTTTAGAAATAACTACAAAAACAGTTTGTGTATTTTATTTTCACATTGAAAATCAGTCAGCTTTGCTTCAGCCTTAAAGAGCGTGTTTATGTAAAATTAAAGGAGCACTGGCAGCGAGCCGTACTTTTTTTCTAAATGGGAAAAGGGTTAATGAGAAATCAACAGTTAAAAAAAAAAAAAGAGAGAGAGAAATCAACAGTTGTTCTTATCTTTGTTTCCTGGTACGTAACATGTCTTTTTTTTAGGCAGGGTCTTGCTCTGTCACCCAGGCTGGAGTGCCATGGTGCAATCATGGATCAATGCAGCCTCAACCTCCTGGGCTGAAGCAATCCTCCTGCCTCAGTCTCCAGAGTAGCTGGGGCTACAGGTGTGTACCCCCACACCCGGCTAATATTTATTTATTTATTTATTTATTTTTGAGATGGAGTCTTGCTCTGTCGCCCAGGCTGGAGTGCAGTGGTGCAATCTCTGTTCACTGCAAGCTCTACCTCCCGGGTTCACGCCATTCTCCTGCCTCAGCCTCCTGATTAACTGGGACTACAGGTGCCCGCCACCAAGGCTGGCCAACTTTTTTGTATTTTTAGTAGAGACGGGGTTTCACCGTGTTAGCCAGGATGGTCTCGATCTCCCGACCTCGTGATCCGCCTGCCTCGGCCTCCCAAAGTGCTGGGATTACAGGCATGAGCCACCATGCCCAGCTCTAATTTTTAAATCTTTTGTAGAGACAGGGTCTCACTTTGTTGCCCAGGCTGTTCTTGAACTCTTGGGTTCAGGTATGTAATATGTCTTTTTTTTTTTTCTCTAGCTGCTTTTTAAATGTTTTATTCATCACTGATTTTCAGCAATTTGATTCTGATGTGCCTTGGTATAGTTTTCTCTTTGTTTATCCTGGCATACAGTTTGTTGTGTTTATAAGTATTTGTAGGTTTATAGTTTTTAATGAATATGTAAAAATTTCTTTGAAAAGTTGGGAAAAAATGTTTCTTAAATATTTTTTCTCCCTCTCGTCTGTTAGACTGCCTGACATTATCCCACAGGTCCCAGAGGCTCAGTTCGTTTTCAGTCATTTTCCTCTCGGTGCTCCACTCTGGGTAATTAGTATTACCGTGTCTTTAAGTTCAGTGTAAGTCCATCCATTGAATTTTTCATTTCGGACGTTATCCCTTTCAACTCTCTTGTAGGCCATTATAAGTATTTTAGCTTTTACTCTGATATGAGAAGCTATTGAGAGGTGACATATGGTTTTATTTTATTTATTTTATTTCTTGAGATGGAGTCTCGCTCTGTTGCCCAGGCTGGAGCGCAGTGGCGTGACCTTGGCTCACTGCAACCTCAGCCTCCTGGGTTCAAGTGATTCTCCTGCCTCAGCCTCCTGAGTAACTGGGATTACAGGCGTGTACCACCATGCCCAGCTAATTTTTGTATTTTTAGTAGAGACAGGGTTTTGCCATGGTGGCCAGGATGGTCTTGAACTCCTGACTTCAAGTGATCCACCCACCTAGGCCTCCCAAAGTGCTGGGATTACAGGTGTGAATCACCGCACCCGGCCCTGATATTATTTATATTTTAATAAGATCATTAGGCCGGGTGTGGTGGCTTATGTCTGTAATCCCAGCACGTTGGGAGGACGAGGTGGGAGGATCACTTGAGCCCAGGAGTTAAGAGAACAGCTTGGGCAACATAGCAAGACCCTCGTTTCTAAAAAAAATTAAAAGATATTTCCTCTCTAGAAAGTAAACTGCTAGAGAACAGGGGAAGATGCAGTCAATTAGAAAACAACTGCAATCTTCCAGGTGAGAGACAAGAGTGGGCTAGGAAAACAGCATTTAACAGAGGTCGTAAGAAATAACAGAATCTTGAACAAATTTCCATGGTGTTTTTGTATACAGTTGATCTCATAGTCAGGAAGTGGAGATGGATGTAAGGGAATGAGAGGAATCAAGGGTTCTGAATGAGCAACTGGGAAAATGGGATTGTCATGAACTGATGGGGAAGGCTAAGGGAGAAGTAGGTCTGGTGGGGGATGATAGAGAACTCAGTTTGGAACATGCTAATTATGAGATATGTATTAAATATCCAAGCGAAGGTACTCATCAGGAGGTGGATATACGAGGTAAGGGCTCAGGGAAAAGCTGTGGCCAGAAAAATACATTTAGAAGTCACCAATATTATCAGTGTTATAAAAAGTATGAGTCTGGCTACAGCTGCCTACTACCAGTGAGTGAAGACAGAAAAGAGAAGTGGTCCCTGTCACACACTACCATTCGGATTTCAAAGGAGTGTGGAAAAACTTGCAAAGGAGGCCAAGAAGAAATGAGAAAAACTAGGAGAGCATGATATCCGGAGGCCACGTGCAACAGGCGTTTCAAGTAGAAAGGAGAGATCTATGTCAAACGCTACTGACAGATCAAGTAAGGTTAACTACTGAAAACTGACCACTGGATTCTGTGGTTTAGAAGTCACCAGTGTGCTTGACATAAATAGTTTTGGCAAAATAACAGGAGGTGAAAGTCTGACTGGGTGTGTTTGAAAGGAAATGGCAGAACAGAAATTGAAGTTTCTTTCTACAGATAACCCTTTAAAGAAGTTTTTCTGAAATGGGAAGGAGAGATATAGAGGGTACCTAGAAAGGGAACTGAGGCCAAGAAAGGTTTTTTGTTTTTTTTTTTTTGAGACGGAGTCTCACTCTGTCACCCAGGCTGCATTGCAGTGGTGTGATCACTGCAGAGGCTCACTACAACCTCTGCCTCCTGGGTTCAAGCAATTCTCTTGCCTCAGCCTCCTGAGCAGCTGGGACTACAGGTGTGTGCCACCACGCCCAGCTAATTTTTGTATTTTTAGTAGAGATGGGGTTTTGCCATGTTGGCCAGGCTGGTCTTGTACTCCCGACCTTAGGTGATCCGCCCGCCTTGGTCTCCCAAAGTGTTGGGATTACAGGCGTGAGCCACCAGGCCTGGCCTATAGGAAGACTTCTATTCAGAACCAGTATTGTTTGTCATATAATTAGAGATCTGGAACACAATGAAAAGCATTCTTAGTAGTTAGATAAGGAAGTTAAATGACCATGAATTTTCTGATAATTTTGTTTGGGGTGTGGGGTGTAATGTTCTTCCCCCATTCAAAGTTGTACCTAGTTTACCAGATTAAGAAAATTTAAACTCTTTCCTTTTTGATAAAATATAAATATACATATATACATAAATATGCAACATATATATAACCCCCAACTAACAAACAAGGTTTGTTTCAGAAATTTGTTTTTCCAAAGCAGAGTCAATAGTTTACAATTCAGATTTTTTTCCTATAAAAACAAGAATTCCTAAACTGTCAAATGTCAATTCAATCCATAAAACGAGGTGATGCCTAAATACCCAATAGTTCTAACAGCATTACTGATGGAAATTGAGCACCTGAAACAATGTACGGAGCACCTACTAGGTATCCAGTGATGAAGACACCACAGTAAACAAAACCCAGACATGGCTGCTGCTAACAACACTCCAGTAGGAAAAGAAATGACCACACCAATAAACGTAAACTTGCAAATGTAGTAAGTGTTTTGATGAGCGGGGACACTGTCCTCCTCTGAGAGGACACAATACAATTTTATCCAATCAGGGAGATCAGCAAAAGCAAAGGTCAGTACAACGACCACAGAGCTAAAATGAGGAGTGACAATAAGATGAACACTCCGTGAGGCTCCGTGATCGGCACATTCCCAAGGCATCCCCTAGCTCTAAGCCAATGCTAATGATGACCAGAGCTGAGGACAGAGGGTCTTGAATGGGACTGGTAGAGTCTAAAGCAGCATTTCTAAAGATATGTTTCCCCTGACTACCTCCTTTAGAACTCCCAGGCTTCTGCTCAATCAATCGGGGAACGCAGCCTGGGAATCTGCATTTAGAACAAGTTTGCAGGTGCGCTAGCTGCATTCCAGTGTGAGAACTGCTCTCTAAGAGATGGTGATAATATCTCGTGATGTCAGCAGAATTTCTAGTGGTAGCAGGCAAGCCATCAGGAGGCACATCTGTAGGGACAGGGAGCAAGGGGACGGGACTGAAATGGGGGAAGTGGGGATGAAGAGTGAGCAATAGCGGGACAAGGTCAGAGGCAGGACAAGCCCCTGACCTTGTCCTGAGGCTGGGTGTAGAGGAGCAGCCTGGAGCCAATGGTAACAATTATGTACCAAGCAGGAGGCAGTGGAATACAGCAATTGAGAGCATGGGCTTTGGTTTTTAATCCAGTTGGACAATAACTTCTCTATGCTTAGTCCCCTCATCTGTAAAATAATAATAATATAAAATCTACCTCATAAGATATTTATTTTGTAGACTGTTGGGAAGATTGGATAAAATAATGTCAAAAAGCATCTGGCACATATGTTGTCATAGTCATTAGCAACAAGGTACTTGTGACCTATCAGATACTCTTATATATCTTCTCTTGTTTATACTCAGAACACTCTTTTTTTTTTTTTGAGACGGAGTCTCGCTCTGTCGCCCAGACTGGAGTGCAGTGGCGGGATCTCGGCTCACTGCAAGCTCCGCCTCCCGGGTTCACGCCATTCTCCTGCCTCAGCCTCCCAAGTAGCTGGGACTACAGGCGCCCGCCACCACGCCCGGCTAATTTTTTGTATTTTTAGTAGAGACGGGGTTTCACCATTTTAGCCGGGATGGTCTCGATCTGCTGACCTCGTGATCCACCCGCCTCGGCCTCCCAAAGTGCTGGGATTACAGGCGTGAGCCACCGCGCCCGGCCTACTCAGAACACTCTTACAAGAAAGGGATTATGGTAACACTCATGATTTTACATTTCCAGCCCTGACCTCTCCCTCGAGCTCCAGAATCATGTAATTGATGGTCTACTCAACACCTCCCCTTGGGTGCCCAATGGGCATTTCAAACCTAATATGCTCAAAATAGAACTCTTGATTCTTTCCACCCCACCTCCTCACCTGCTCTTCCCCAGACTGACCAGCTTAAATAAATGGCATCACTATACCCAGCCATCAGGCCAAAACCAGAGGGGTCTTTTTAATTTCTCTCTTTTCCTTGAACACACATCCAATCCACTGCAAGTCCTGATGGCTCTTATTTTCTCATCACCTCCACTGCCGCCATGACTTCTCCTGAGCAACTTCTTAGGAGTTCTCGCTTACACTGCCCCAATAGCCTCTTGACTGTGCACTCTTCTGCTCATACACTCTACAGTTGATTCTCCACGCTGCAATGAGTGGCCTTGTCAGTTTGGGGTGATGAAAATGTTCTAAAACTGATTTCAGTAGTGGCTGCACAACTCAGTGCATACACTAAAAACCACTGAATTGTACATCTTGAATGGATGAATTGTACAGTGTGTGAGTTATATCTCAATAAATCTGTTTAAAAAACAAATCAAGGGTCCTAACTAATAATTCTGAAACTGCTACACGTGCTGCAGGCACGGAACGAATAAGTCAATGGATGGTAGATGATGGGAGCCAGGTGTCTCACCCCTGGAGAGGGAAGTTACAGACAACCAAGGTGGGGACAGCTAGAGGAAACCCCGTGGTACTGGATTAGAGTCAGATACTTCAGCGTAACTCACAAATACCTTAATGCAGATACAGATGGATAGAGAAATAATTACAGGCATGTGCATATACGCATACTGATTTCTTTTATTTTTTCCTCCTCAACAGAGCCTGGGCTCTGTTGCCCAGGCTGCACTGGAGTGCAGTGGCGCAATCTCGGCTCACTGCAACCTCTGCCTCCTCGGTTAAAACGATTCTCGTGCCTCAGCCTCCCAAGTAGCTGGGACTACAGGTGCGCACCACCAAGCCCAGCTAATTTTTAAATAATTTTTAGTAGAGTTGGGGTTTCGCCATGTTGGCCAGGCTGGTCTCGAACTCCTGACCTCAGGTGATCTGCCCGCCTTGGCCTCCCAAAGTGTTGGGATTACAGGCATGAGCTATCGTGCCCAGCCTGTACACACTGATTTCTAATACCATTCTCTAATAAAGGAGCCAGGGCTCCCTAGGAAAATGCAATTCTAGGGCTGGGGCAGGGAATACAAGATGAGCCTGGAGCATGTTGTAATGCCACAACCTAAGTAAGTGCTTAAAAAACAAAAGGCAGCATGTCAAAGGGACACAGGACCCAACCAGAAAGAGCTCCCACTAGCCAGAGTTGGAACAATTTGAGCAACAAAATAAATAATGTATTAAACAGTATTGGGTTATAACCCAAAGCATAAAATAAACATCCATGAGTCCACACTGATATAAATAAATGATTAAATCAACAAATGGGAGATATACAGAGGGTGTAGATACTTCCCTCTCCAGGCGAGTAGAGCTTAATTCCTCACCCCTGCCCTTGAGTATGAACCATGCTTAGGGATTTCCAAAGAACAGAGTAGGAAAAGAGTGAGAAACCTTGTCAATGATGCTTTGGACAGGAGACCAAGATTCCCATCAGCAGCGAGAAGTCATGCTGACAGCAGGTTCTCTATGATGCAGTGAGAAGGGCACTTGCCTCTGTGTTCTTCTTCCCCTAAACCCATAATCACAGTGTAATCATGAGAAAACCATGAAGGACATTCTGCAAAATATCTGACCAGTACTCCTCAAAACTGCCAAGGTCATGAAAAATAAGGGAAGACTAAGAAACTCACAGAACAGAAGGAGCCAGGGAGACAGGATGACTAAATGAGATGTGGCATCCCAGAACAGAGAAAGGGCATGAGTGGATAAACTAGTGAAACAGGAATAAAGTCTGGAACTTAATTCACAGTAGTGTATGGGTATTATTTCTTAGTTGTGACACATGCACCCAGGCAACATAAGTTAGCAATATTAGAAGAAACAGGGCCGGGTGCGGTGGCTCATACCTGTAATCCCAGCACTTTGGGAGACCCAGGCAGGTGGATCACCTGAGGTCAGGAGTTTGAGACCATCCTGGCTAACACAGTGAAACCCTGTCTCTACTAAAAACACAAAAAATTAGCCGGGCGTGGTGGCGGGCGCCTGTAGTCCCAGCTACTCAGGAGGCTGAGGCAGGAGAATGGGGTGAACCTGGGAGGCAGAGCTTGCAGTGAGCTGAGATCGAGCCACTGCATTCCAGCCTGGGCGACAGAGCGAGACTCCGTCTCAAAAAAAAAAAAAGAAAGAAAAGAAACAAAGGAAGGGGTATGTATATGGGAACTTACTGTACTACTTTTGCAACTTTTCTTTAAGCCTAAAACTATTCTATAATAAATCTTATTAAAAATGCTTTTTAAAAATCAAATCCCATCTCCCCTGTGTGATCTGGCCCCTTGCTGCCTCTCCAGCTGGTTTTCTACGCTCGGCCCTCTGCTCACCGCGCTTCAGCCGTGCTGACCTTTCCACTATTCCAGAAAACACCCAGTACCTTCCCACCATGGGACCTTTATCCTCCCCATTCCCTCTGCCTGGAACAATCTTCCCTGAGATGCCGGCATGGCCCTCTTTCCTCCTCACATCATTCAGATTCCTGATCAAAGTCGTCTCTCCGGAGGGTCCTTCCCTGATCATCCAATCTAAAACCTGAAACTCTCTGCCCCATTCACTCTCTATTTTTCTGCACAGCATTTACCACTATTCTTTATTATATTATAAAACAATATTTTTCTGTCTTCTTTGCTAGAACAGCAGCTACATAAAAGCAGAGACCTATTTTTACACAGCTAAATCACCAGGCACCTCCTGAAACAGTGCCTCGCACATATCAGGTGCTCAGCAAATATTTGCTGAACTAATGAATTAGCCTAAAGATGAAATAATCAGTTACTTCTAAAGAAGTACTTAAGGCCGGGTGTGGTGGCTCACGCTTGTAATCCCAGCACTTTGGGAGGCTAAGGAGTAGACCACCTGAGGTCAGGAGTTCGAGATCAGCCTGGCCAACATATAGTGAAACCCTGTCTCTACTAAAAAATACAAAAATTAGCTGGGCGTAGTGGTGCGTGCCTGTAATCCCAGCTACTTGGGAAGCTGAGGCAGAGAATCGCTTGAACCTGGGAGGCAGAGTTTGCAGTGAGGCGAGATTGTGCCACTGTACTCCAGCCTGGGCAACAGAGCAAGACTATGTCTCAAACAAACAAACAAAAAGAAAGAAGTACTTAAGTGTAAAGAGTTAACTCAATAATTCTGTCAACAGGTAAGTGACAAAGCTTGACCCTGAACCCAGGCCTAGGTGACTTCAGAGCTCATACTCTCTCTGCCACACCAAGCTTAAAGTGAAATGGAGTTGACAGCAGCAAAGGGCAGGAGTAAACACCAAGTGCCGTGTTAGAGAACGCAGGGGAGCTCCTGTGGCCGAGTCACTCAGCCAGGCGAGTGCTGCGCTGAGGTGGCTGTCATTGCAAGAGCAGTTACAGTGTGTTTGTGACCAGGGAGTTGATCCACATTTGGGAAATACACAATTTGGGGCAGAAGTTTAGATTGAATTTCTGTTCTTGAATTGACAGGCAGAGTTCAGTGACATTTTCTTATGGCACCTAAATTTTTATATATGTAACGTAGGTGAAAATACAGAATTTGGGGAATATTACAAAGAGTTGTTATAATGGATTTTAAGATAATTTTTTTCCGAACGCTGTTGTTTCTCCTCAAACAATGAGAGTAATTCTGGCGACCATGTTTCAAAGTGTTAGACCTTTAAGGAAGTCATCTCTGAAGAAGGTTAAAAGCGTGAAAGAGTTCCGTCAAAGTGATCTCTAATGTACTGGTTGAGTGTTGGTAGGACAATTATTTACTAATATTATCTTCCTTGATGGAGATAGTCCTTCTACCAGTTACTAATTACCAGCTCCTCTCTGAATAAGTGTATTATACTCTTTTAATTTCATGGGAACTCAAACACTAAGCCACATTCATCTTCCCAATAATCAAGCCCTTGGGCAAGTTGAAGTGAGAGAATAGAGATTCATCTCCATATTTGTTATTCTAAATTTCAAAGGGGCCAACATTTGTACCTTTGACTACTGCTACTATACTACGAATGAAGAAGATGTAAAGGCCTACTAAATTTGATGTAATCTTTGTTTTCTTTCTTTCTTTTTTTTTTTTTTTTTGAGACAGAGTCTCACTCTGTCACCTAGGCTGGAGTGCAGTGGTATGATCACAACTCACTGCAGCCTCAAACTCCTGGGCTCAAGCAATCCTTGCACCTCAGTCTCTAGAGTAGCTGGGACTACAGGCGGGTAACATCAGGCCCAGACAGGTAAAGAAAAAAATTCTTTGTAAATATGTGGTCTTGCTGTGTTGCCCATACTGGTCTTGAACTCCTAGCCTCAAGTGATCCTCCCACCCTGACCTCCCAAAGTGCTGGGATTAGAGGTGTGAGCCACTAGCGCCCAGCCTTGTAATCATATTTCATTACCTATGTTGAGTCCAGTAATGGACCACAACATGCTGACTTATAAAGTACCTTTTATCAGCTCTGAAATTCTGAGTCTAAGTAATAAAAAAAAATTGTATATAGAGCTGCATCTCTTCTTTTTAACATCCTTATTCTAAATCCAAGACAAGATGAAATGCTTATTGTTCTCAAAGGGTCCGATAGTAAATATTTTAGGCTTTGTAGGCCATAAGGTTTCTGTTGCAGCTACTCAGTCTGCCATGGTAGGGGAAGCAGCTATAGCCAATATATAAACAAGTATGTTCCAATAAAACTTTATTTACAAAACAAGTATACACATGGTATACACAAGGGCAGGAGTTGGCACAAGCTGTAGTTTGCCAACCGCTGCCCTTGTGTGTACCATGTGGTGGCTGGGAAGTGTTCTGAGGTCAGTTATATACCTGTGCACATGCCAATATCTGAGAGGAGTTCGGGAGTCTTTGTCTTATATTCTTGAATTTAGTTGGATGTTAGGAACTAAAGTGGCTTACAACCATAAGTCTGTTTTGATTCCAAAGTGGCTCTCGAACCCTACTATGCCTTAGGTAAGTTTTAGGTAGCCTAGGGATTCATTGCTATGAAGGTGAGAAACTAAGGAAGATAGCTGCACCATTCCAAGTTGTCATAACAGGATGAAGCTCCCAGGAAAAGCAACTCTGGAACAAACATACTTTGCTTCCTGGCAAACCTTCCAGCCCAGGATCAACTCCAGGGTGCTCCTAATCTAACAGGACCATTCCAGGCTGCAATATGCTTGTCTGAACTGTCCATGTTGGAACAGTGGCCACATGGATTTCAGCTGCTCCTCCACTGGGTCTGAGTTTGAAGGTAGTATGTAAGTCTACAAAACGACCGAGGGCCAAAGCGCAAGGACGGGAGTCCAAAGAGAACCACAGCAAGAAACTGGCCCCTTTGGAGTCTGACAAGGGGTCAACACGAGTTTATAAAGCCAAGTTTAAGAAATAAGCCAGGAGTAACAAGTTAAATCAGGGTCAAGTGCAAAATAAAGAAGCTGCTAGACATGAACACTAGAAATCTGTTTCGGAACAATGCTCTTGCCTTGCCTTCTGTCTTCGGGGCTCATGAAAGCACTTTTTGTGTGTTCTTGGTCAATGACAGGGTCCCTAATATGTGGTTATTTTAGAAAACAGATATAAACTCTAAAGTGTTTACCTATAAGGTCAGAAAATAGGATAATGACTTATCCTACAAATATAAGCTATAAATGCATCAAGTTCAATGTAGTCACAGTTGGAATTGTGATTGGGGGACAAAACTGAATTGCATGACACAGAGTGGCCAAATAGTAAATATTTAGTTGTACTGAGTTTTCAATATATTTACCGAGTATCTATGTGCCAGATCTACATCAGTACTGGAACTACGGTGATAAACAAATGTAGCTCCATCCTTGTGAAGTGCCCAGCCTTGAGAGGAATACTGAAATACTGACATTAATCAAGTATTTATAAGGGTAGGGAATGTTATAAAAGGATGTTTGCGGAGATCATATATAGAATATTTGACCTAGTCCAGGAGATCAGAAAAGTCCTCCCTCAGAAAGTGACATCAAAGTTGAAACTTGGGTGATAAACAGGGTTGGCTAGGTGAAGATGTTGGATAAAGAGGGTGCCGGGCAGAGGGAAGGGTATGTGCAAAAGTGCAGGTGAGAGAATTTACAGCATACTCCAGGTACTGAAGAGTCCCAGCTTGAAGAGTAGGGGAGAGCATTGGAAAATGAGGCTGGGGAGACAGGCTGGGCACCATGAAGGGTTGCCCAAGCCTATTCATTCATTCATTCATTCACTTACTTATTTGAGATGGAGTCTCACTCTTGTCACACAGGCTGGAGTGCAGTGGTGTGATCTCAGCTCACTGCAACCTCCGCCTCCTGGGTTCAAGTGATTCTTGTGCCTCAGCATCCTGAGGAGCTGGGACTATAGGCACTTACCACCACGCCCAGCTGATTTTTCCTATTTTTAGTACAGATGGGCTTTCATCATGTTGGCCAGGCTGGTCTCAAACTCCTGACCTCAAGTGATCTGTCTGGCCTCCCAAAGTGCTGGCATTACAGGTGTGAGCCACTGCGCCCAGTCCCAAGCCATGTTAAAGAACTGGTGTTTCTCTAAGGCACAATGAGATGCTCCTGAGTTTTAAGCAGGGGACTGTCATGATTAGACAGTGCTTTGGAGAAATGACTACCTGCAGTGTAAAAAGCAGACCAGAGTGAGGCAAAAGAGAAGGCAAGAAACTCAGTGAGGAGGCCGTGCAATATCATCTGCTAAAATTTAAGGCTAGGAGAAGAAACGACCACTGTCACCTTTCACATAGCCTGGCCTCCACAACTTCAAAGAGACCAGATCGCCCCAAGAAAGATCCTACATGGAAGCTCTATGAGAAATGCTGAGTGAGAAGCTCAGAAAAGCATTTCTGTGTCCTCCACAATAAATGCACAAGGCCAGCTGATTCTAACAGTAAATTGTAAGACAATTCTCTGACTCTGGAAAGTCCTGAAGTGTGAAGAAATATCAGTAGTTCTGTCATGATGGGAGAAATCTGTAGGAACCACCAAAGCAGGAGGAAGACGTACAAAAAAATATTCCAGTGAAAACCCGAACACCCAGAATAATCAGTGACTTTAGTAAGGAAACCCTAGGTAAGTGGATGCAGGCTAGGGATTAGCACTGAAAGTAGCACATTTCAGAGTAGATTCTTACACGACAATTTTTTTTTTTTTTTTTTTTTTGAGACAGAGACTTGCTCTGTTGTGCCCAGGCTGGAGTGCAGTGGTGTGATCTCAGCTCACTGCAACCTCTGCCTCCCAGGTTCAGGCAATTCTCCTGCCTCGGTCTCCCAAGTAGCTGGGATTACAGGCATCCACCACCACACCCAGCTAATTTTTTGTATTTTTAGTAGAGATGGGGTTTCACCATTTTGGACAGGCCAGTCTTGAACTCCTGACCTCAGGTGATCCACCCGCCTTGGCCTCCCAAAGTGCCAGGATTACAGGTGTGAGCCACTGCACCCGGCCTGAAGACAACAATTTTGGATCACAGTATGTAAAGCTGTGTCCTGTTATAGCAATGTAAACACATGCCTGCTGTTATATCAGTATAACAGTACTCTAAATGCCTGACTGAGACTCTCAGATCCATGGGGCAAGCAATGTTACTCTTCTCTAATGTGATCCTTCAGCACACCATAAATAATTCTCAGCAAATTAAGTTCCTTTTCTCCTCTGTCACTAAAAAAAAATACACAATGTCAAGGCACTAGCGTGGAAGAGATGGATTTATAGAATGTAAGGACACTCCCCATCTGGATTATCTCTCCTCAAAGGACTTTAGCCACAAAGGGCAAGGAAGTACAACATCCTTCCAACAGCTCACTGTCTCATAGGTTGTGGCTTGATGCAATCAACTCTGTTTAGGGGAAAGAAAATAGTGTGTGCCTTCGCTGTATTACAAGCTAATGAGAAAAAATAGTACTGTCCCATGAGGGCGTGTGAGAGAGACAAACAAGCCCAATGACATGCCAGGCTCTATAGGTTCTCTGGCACAGCCAGGTTATGGACAGAATGAAGGACCTGGAGTGACATGGGGCTCTCTAAGAACTGTTCACCACTACTCACCTTTCCTGTGCTTATCTACCCAGCGGGGTCTCGTCTTGATGAAGTAGCAGTCGTGATGCTATCTAAATTTGTCAAATGACCTCTTTCCCAACACGAAGTGCATGAAAAATCTTTTTTTTTTTTTTTTCCCGAGACGGAGTCTCACTCACTCTGTTGCTCAGGCTGGAGTGCAGCGGCCCAATCTCAATTGCTCACTGAAACCTCCGTCTCCCAGGTTCAAGCAATTCTCCTACCTCAGCCTCCTGAGTAGCTGGGACTACAGGTGTGCACCACAAAGCCCGGCTAATTTTTGTATTTTTCGTTGAGACAGGGTTTCGCTATGTTGGCCAGGTTGGTCTCAAACTTCTGGCCTCAAGCAATCCAGATCCACCTGCCTCGACCTCCCAAAGTGCTGGGATTACAGGCGTGAGCCACCGCATCTGGCCTGCATCAAAAATCTTTACCAAATAAATGTCATATTGAACAAGAAAACATATCTAGTCCTTCCACTTTCTTCCCTCCCCACCCCCCCATTTATGTTTTCTCCTGAGTAAATAAGCTCAATGAGGTTAAGGACCCGCTATCAATCAATGCTTGGGTTTAATGTACATAAAATTCTAGTAATCGGTTAACCTTCCTACTAGTTAGTCATGTGAAACGCAATGTAATATTATATTTACACATAATATGTATAAAATAGAGGAATAATACCTTTCTTTTTAATTTCCCTGCTCTGAATGGAATAAGCAGGCAGTACTATGTGATTTATTTGAAATAACTGAAAAAGAAAATCCCTTTCCTAGCAGAGGAAGTACTAATTAAGGGGCAAGCAGCAGCAAGAAGATTTTGAGAGACGGAATTTGTTTTTGGCCCAAGCCTGGGGAGTCTACACCCTCAAAGAGCTTGTAGTCTAGAAAGGCATCGAACACACAGCTACTACGATACTATGATATGTACCAGACGCTGCGGCTCACAGAAGATCACATAATATAGTTTTAGGGTGTTACGGAAGGCTTATTGGAGGAGTCAAAGCTAAGATGAGAAGGAAGAATTAGATGACAAAGAAGAGAGAACAAAGGTGAAAAGGATGGGGAGGTCCTTCAGGGAGAAGTGGCATATGCAGCCACCTGCCTGGGGCATTGTGAGAGGTCCAAGTGCTTCTGAGTATGGATGCTGAGAAGAGAGAGTGGGACGAGGTAGGGCTGGAAGGGCTGGCAAGGGTCAGCTCAGAAACAAGGGCCTTGTAAGCCACACTGAAGAATGGGGGTTTTAGCTTGTAGAACTGTGTGGCCATCAGCTACCTATGGCTATTTTAAATTCCAATTCACTCCAATTAAATAAAATTAGGCCGGGTGCAGTGGCTCATGCCTGTAATCCCAGCACTTTTGGAGGCCGAGGTAGGTAGATCACCTGAGGTCAGGAGTTCAAGACCACCCTGGCCAACATGGTAAAACCCCATCTCTACTAAAAATAGAAAAATTAGCTGGGTGTGGTGGCACACGCCTGTAGTCACAGCTACTCAGGAGGATGAGGCAGGAGAATTGCTTGAACCCAGGAAGCAGAGGTTGCAGTGAGCCAAGATTGTGCCACTGCACCCTAGCGCCTGGGTGACAAGAGTGAAACTCCATCCCTAAATAAATAAATAAATAATTAACAATTCATTTTCTCTGTCACATCTCAAGTACTCGACAGACACATGTGGCTAGTTGGCTCCCATACTGGTTAGCACAGAACACTTCCACGCTACCAGACAGTGCTGCAGCAAAGAAGATCCACTGGCAAGTTTCAATCGGAAGAATAACATAATCAGATTCGCATTTCAGAAAAACCCCTGCAGCTGCAAAGAAAAGACTAAATTGGGGGTAAAGTGGGGAGTAGACTGGAGATTCCCCAATAAGATCCATGAAAAAGTTGAGAACTGTACCACAGCACTGATTTGCTTTAAGTGTTTGCTTTACTAGCTGAAGTGAGCTGAAATATTTTACTAGTTTGGTATTAAGAGGAGTGAAAAAAAATCTCTGGTTAAACATAGTAGGTCTAGGCTGGATCAGCACGGGAATTTCAGCATTTGGAAATGTTTGTTCTGTGTGCCAGGCTATGGCCCATCACCATCACTTGATGGAAGCAACTACAATGAGTCAGCTTCTTAGGAGATAAGGTCAAAACATATTTCAGTGAAAAGCCCCAAAGCATGTGTGTGTAAAAATGTGTTTTTTAAAAGCATGTGTGTGTTCATGTGTGTATCAGAAAGAGAGACAGACAGAGACATTACATAGTAAGAGAGGAAGAGAGTATGTGTGGGGGCTGCTAGAGAGAAAAGGGGTGTGTGCGCATGTATGCATGTCAGGTTCTACTGGTCATTTGTTGGCTCTAAGTATTTGTATCTCCTTTGCTGGTGTGAGATTCGCTGGAAGAATCTGGATGACAAAAACGATGGTCTGGTTCCCAACCTTGTTCTTCTGGCACAAATCTTCCTCCAGTGTTTTGACCAAAGGGACCTTAATTCAAGCCAGGGAGAAATCTGAAAACGATCCTCACTTTTCCTCGCCCCACCCACATCCAAAATTTACAAAGCTTGTCTTCACTCCCAGCATCCCACAAGCATCTCAATCTGAACACGACAACATTGCACTTGAGATCTTTTTCCCCAAACTTGCTCCTTCCAGTCGGCTCTGCCGATGGTCTATGACGGATGTGACGCTTGGTCACGCTCAGGACCTCAAGCCTCAGTCCAACGCGAAGAAGAAACAAACTATTAGTTATTATGCTTCTGTCAGCTTCTATTTTTCAAACTAAGGTATTTAAGTATGGACTTGGAAATACTCAAACTTTCTGTTTGTACTAATCTGAGTTAGAACTGGTGAAAGGCTTACCTTAAATGCTTGAGTGGAAATGGAATCTAATCCCAACCCAGAAGCAGCTGAAAACTGGCGGTCTGCCCAGGCTGTCAGACAGGCTCTGGACACCTGCCAACACTAAGGACCCTGCAGTTCTCTAAGATTATGTGTTAATTTTCAATTACTCTGCTTTTCTGTCTTAAAAAAAAAAAAAACGCTGGAGAAAAAACTATTCTTGTGTTGACTTGGTGAAATTCTCACAAAGACTTCATACATGCTAGTTGTTTCCTGAAACTATCATTAATTCTTGCTTTTCAAACAAACTCTATTTTTCTCATTTCACAGGTGGGAAGAGAATCCATGCACTGAGTCCACATATGGATAGTTTCTGACTTGATCACTTTTGTTTTATTCCTTTTCTTAGTTTCCCCCAACATCTCTATTGTCCTTGGTCTTAAAAAAACAAAAACATAGTGATTTTTGTCATTCTGCTATATTCTATAGATAATAAGATAAACTCTTTACCTTGTCACCCAGTCAGAAAGCCATTTTAATACAGGCACACATTGTTTTATTGTGCTTTGCTTTATCATGCTTCACAGATACTGTGCTTTTTACAAATTGAACATTTGTGGCAACCCTGAGTTGAGCAAGGCCACTGGTGCCATTTTTTCCAACAGCATGTGCTCACTTGGTGTCTCTGTGCCACATTTTGGTAATTCTGGCAATGCTTCAAACTTCTCCATTATTATCATCATATCGGTTATGGTGATCTGTGATCAGTCATCTTTGGTGTTACTATTGTAATTGTTTTGGAGTGCCACAAACCATGCCCACATAAGATAGCCAACTTAATCAATCAATATGTGTTCTGACCGTTTCACTGACCATCTCTCTCTCTCTCTTCTCAGGCCTCCCTATTCCCTAAGACATAAAAATATTGAAATTAGGCCAGTTCATAACCCTATTATGATGTCTAAGTGCTCAAGTGAAAGGAAGAGTTGCATATCTCTTATTTTAAATCAAAAGCTACAAATGATTAAGCTTAGTGAGGAAAGCATGTCGAAAGCCAACACAGGCTGACAGCAAGGCCTCTTGTGCCAAACAGTCAAGCTATGAATGCAAAGGAAAGCTCTTGAAGGAAATTAAAAGTGGTACTCCACTGTACACAGAAATGAGAAGAAAGCAAAACAGCCTCATTGCTGATGTAGTTTTAGTGGTCTGGATAGAAGATCAAATCAGCCGCAACATTCCCTTAAGCCAAAGTCTCATCCAGGAAGGCCCTAACTCTCTTCAATTCTATGAAGGCTGAGAGAGGTGAGCAAGTTGCAGAAGAAGAGCTGGAAGCTAACAGAGGTTGGTTCATGAGGTTTAAGGAAAGAACCATCTCCATAACATGCAGGTGTGAGGTGAAGCAGCAAGTGCTGATGGAGAAGCTGCAGCAAGTTGTCCAGAAGATCTAGCTCAGATCATTGACGAAAGCAGCTACACAAAAACTGCAGATTTTTGATGAGATGAAACCGGCTTCTATCGGAAGAAGATGCCATCTAGGGCTTTCATAGCTAGAGAGAAGAAGTCAATGCCTGGCTTTAAAGCTTCAAAAGGACAGGCTGATTCTCTTGCTGGGGCTAATGCAGCTGGTGACTTTAACTTGAAGCCAATGCTCATTTACCATTCTGAAAATTTTAGGGCCTTTCAGAATTATGCTAAATTTACCTTGCCTGCACTCCATAAAAGGAAGAATAAAGCCCGGATGACAGCACATCTGTTTACAGCACGGTTTAATGAATATTTTAAGCCTACTGTTGAGACCTACTGTTCAGAAAAAAAGATTGCTTTCAAAACAGTACTGCTCATTCATTGACAATGCATGTGGCTCCTAAGAGCTCTGAAGAAGATGTACAAGGAGATGAATGTTGCTTTCACACCTGCTAACACAACATCCATCCTGCAGCCCCTGGATCAAGAAGTAATTTTTTTTTTTTTTTTTTTTGAGAAGTAGTTTCGCTCTTGTCACCTAGGCTGGAGTGCAATGGCACAATCTCGGCTCACTGCAACCTCCACCTCCCGGGTTCAAGTAATTCTCCTGCCTCAGCCTCCCAAGTGGCTGGGATTACAGGCAGGTGCCACCATGCCAAGCTAATTTTTGTAGTTTTAGTAGAGGCAGGGTTTCACCATGTTGGCCAGGCTGGTCTGGAACTCCTGACCTCAGGTGATCCACCTGCCTCGGCCTCCCAAAGTGCTGGGGTTATAGGCCACCACACCCAGCCAAGAAATAATTTTGACTTTCAAGTCTTATTATGTAAGAAATACATTTTGTAAGACTATAGCTGCCATAGATAGAGTGGTTCCTCTGATGGAGTCTGGACAAAGTAAATTGAAAACCTCTGTAATGGATTCATCATTCTAGATGCTATTAAAAACATTTGTGATTCATGGGAGGAGGTTAAAACAAACATTAATGGGAGTTTGGAAGAAATTGATTCCAACCCTCATGGAATTCTAGGGGTTCAAGACTTCAGTAGAGGAAGTAACTGAAGATGTGGTAGAAAAAAACAAGAGAACTAGAATTAGGTGTGAAGCCTGAAGGTGTGACTGAATTGCTGCAATCTCATAATAAAACTTGAAAAGGTAAGGAGTTGCTTCTTACGGATAAGCAAAGAAAGGGGTTTCTTGAGATGGAATCTACTGGTTAAGATGCTGTGAACATCACTGAAATGACAAGGATTTAGAATATTATATAAACTTAGTTGACAAAGCAGTGGCAGGGTATGAGAGGACTGACTACAGTTTTGAAAGAAGTTCTACTGTGGGTAAAATGCTATCAAACAGCATCACATGCCACAGAGAAATCTTCCACAAATGGGAGAGTCCATTAAGGGGGCAAACTTCATTGTTGTCTTATTTTAAGAATTTGCTACAGCTATCCCAGTCTTCAGCAACCACCATCCTGCTTAGTCAGCAGCCATCAGCATTGAGGCAAGACTCTCTACCAGCAAAAAGACTAGAACTTGCTGAAGTCTCAGATGATCATTAGCATTTTTTAGCAATTAGATAATTTTAAAATTAAGGTACATACTTTTAAAATATATACTGCTATTGCACACTTATGAGGCTATAGTATAGTGTAAGCAAAACTTTTATATGTACTGGGAAATTTAAAAGTTTGTATAAGTCACTTGATTACAATATACACTTTATTGCGGTGGTCTGGGACCAAACCTGCCGTGTCTCTGAGGTATGCGTGTACTATTATATTAACTCATCTCTTAATTTGGCCATGTTTTTACAGTTCAGAAATAATATTTATACTGTGGCATCTTCTGATCTTCAAAAACTGCTTTTCTTTTTTATGAAGTATAAATTAAAGTAAATATGCTATGATAAAATCTCGCCTTTACCTAAAAGTGCTAGCAATTAGGACTACTCAGGATTATAGGCTCTAATATTTACCATTTCCCATCCAAAGATGGTATTATGTCCCAAGTCAATACATCATCAACAACTGAACAAAACAGAATAGAAATAATTATTTCTATTTTTGAGAGAATATTATTTGTTGGGAGAAATAAAAGTGAAGTGTTAGGGAAAAAAGACCTCTTCTAAAACACATCTATGCAAAAGGAGGTGTGATATAATACATAACACAGTTTTTTTCAGAAGCCACCCAAAAGAGAAGCCCATAGCTGTAATTCCTGAGTACCTCTACCTTTTCCAGGGACTATGAGCCAATCATTCTGAATCTGCGTTTCCAGAGCGTTCTAATTCCTAGGGTTGGCTTTCTTCTGGGCTTGTCTTACTTTTAGCCTACGTTTTAGTTTTTCTCTGTTAAGTTCGTTACCACTCATCCATTTGCTTGGCTGCTACCAAAATTTTGTTGCTATTGTTTCTCTTCTTTTTCTTTGTTCTTGTGAGTTTTTACTTTAAAAAAAAAAAAAAAAAGAAACCTCTTGGCTGTCATTTTAGTGGTGTTTCAGGACGAAACAGGCAAATGTGACTTAATATGCCATGCTATCTGTTACTTTCCTTTTCCCTAAGTCTCTAAATTGCAATTATCCTATTTGGAGATCTTTACTTTTGTATACTGTGTGTGTGAGTGTTTAAAATGCATCATTTGGTTCATGGTTTAATGGGTTAATGAATCACAAAAGGAGATACCCAGGCCTGGTCCAGATGACTGGGTATAAATTGGATACCCTGGACCTCGTCCCTTTCACAGGAGGTGGCTAAGACTCCTGGGAAAAGTGCGAGAGCGTCGGCAGTTGTACATGGATGGCTGCCTTATGTGAAGAAGGAAAATTCTGGACGTGGAAATGTGTACGGGAAGGCTTGTGTGTGTGCATGTGTGCACACAGCTATGTGCTAGGTAGGAAAACCATGGTCTGCTAACAGTCTCAGTTATTTTTCTTTCCCAGGATCTCTCTCTCTTCTTCTTCTTCTTTTTTTTTTAGAGACAGAGTCTCGCTATGTTGCTGAGGCTGGAGTGCAGTGGCTATTCACGGCATGATCATAGCTCACTGCAGCCTCAAATTCCTGGGATCAAGCGATCCTCCTACCTCAGCCTCCTCTCTCTCTTCTTTTCTTGGCAGTATACTCTTCTTTGGGGGAAATGCTTCTTCCTCTGCTCTGATGCCATAGGTCTAACGGGCATGGTCCCTCACATACACACAAGGATGGACAGCAACGCAATCCAGGACACAAGAATCCTTCCTTGCGTTTTTCTAATCCAAAGGAGGAAAAGCACAACCCCTGGAGGGGCAAGGCTGTAGGGAGGTGTGTGTCTGCAACCATCGGCAGCTTGGGAGCAGCTGTTCTGCAGTGGCGGGGAGCGAAGATGGCACACGGAGAGAGGCAGCTCGGAGAAGGAGGGCCGCCTGGGGGCATTCCAGCTGCTTTTGTGATCTGTGTACTCTTCTGCCCTTCCCTTTCTGCTTTTTGCCTTTGCTTTGTGGGTTTTGCCTTTTAAGGTTCGATTTTAATACTTGGAACTAAAGGAGACATAATATTAATATACCAACTGAACGCACAAAGCACAAAGTTGCATACTGAAGGCTTTTGTTACTTCCACAGTTCTATGAAATTCCCACAGAATTGTTAAGCTTTAAGTATCCATAAACACAGCTAAAGCTTTAGAAGACATTTAAAAATAAAAAAAATTAGCATCATTTTCCATATTTGTCTGAATATAAGTTGACTTAAAATAACAGAACAGTACGCAGCATAAGAACACAATTCACATTCTGAACCTTGGGGAAAAAGAGGTCTAGACGCGGGCCTCCTAGGAAATTGGACAGGGGAGGGGTATTTTAAGCCTATGTTTTAAAGCCTTGAAAAGTTTTTTCTTGTTTGCTTTTAAATGTACTATGTGGACGCTTTTAAAAGAAAGTAAATTTCAAGGAAGTATTTAGCCTAAGGCAGACAAAATTTCTTTTCAGTTATAAGATATCAATTTAGGGATATTAAAAGATTATTAGGGAGGGCAAATCCCTACAGTAGAACCTCTCGGGAACATAATTTATGGTTATCTCACATGACAGTCATCATCTCTGCCATTTATAAGGTCTTCTGTGAAAAGTAAAGCTTACATTCAGATCATCTTTTATTTGGACTAACAGCATTACTTTTGGCCACTGTGATTATCACTATTTTTATATGCACTGCCTATTAAAAAGGTAGGAACTAGAGCACTTAAAATTTTTCCTGCATTTTTATCACTGTGCATGTTGTTGTCTCATTCAGTGATTGACGTCTTAGGATGAGTTCTAAAAGAAACCTCTTATTCTGGAGAGTAGCTGCTCTATCTCCGCGAGCATTCCTGTCTGGGCAGAGTAAGGCTCTGTGGCTGGCAAGACGTGCTGGGCTCCTGGCTTCCGTTAGACTCTCTGGCCACACAGGTCTGTCCACATTCAGAGGAGGGAAGAAAAGCTGAGGAGTCATTAAGGAAACAAGTAGAATACTACCTGGAAATTTATACTATTTGATTACTGGGGCCATGAAAAGCCAAGTCTATGAATTAGGTAATTAGTATCCACATGGTATATCACAATCTCATACTGAATATAAATGGAATCCCCTAAAATCCTGGGGGCTGTAATGGTAGGGTAGGAGCATTTTGTTCCTATGGAGCCGCTACTCAAGTAATTGTGCTTCTTAATCAATCGGAGCTCAACCTTCTTCTCTGGTCTGCCCTCTGGCTGCCTTTGGTCTGCTGGTCAGCCCTTGCAAAGTTTACGATAACCACCTCTAGGGTGGGCTAATTCCACCAGAAAGAGTGGCTAAACACTGACTTTAAGATGAAATCTTAATCCAGGCTATAGATTATCTGAAGCAGCTTTCAAAAATGACAGGTATCATTTTGTGACTGGCAATCACAGCTGGCTACTTACAATAAAGCCTGCAGGTGTAACACAGCAAGCCTGAGGGGTAGGCCTCTACAGAGGTGGCTATGATTATTACTGCTCCCTTCTTTTAGTTTTTTCAAGCAATAAAACACTGTCCAGAAAGCCATGCTCCTTCTAATAGCCTCTAGCAGCCACATTCAGCTGTGGTCGCCCTCATGTACTCGGGTGACTTAGCGTGACAGAACTAGTAAATGATGAGAAGAATTCAGATGGGAAATGCTACTGAATGAGATGGTATTCTTATAATTAACAGGAAAACTATGACCTGAATTCTTTGAATCGGCCACCTTATCTGCCTGGTTTTGAAACGGAAACATCTTTGATCTGGAGTCTGGGTTTGAATGCTATGGGTGTTAAACATAAAAAACTGAAGTCCAAGGACAGCAAGGGTTATCGTAATATCTAGGTAGGTGGGACAGGCTTAATTGCTTTGTATTCGTCCATAAAAATTCCTTTCCTGCTTGAGAGGGCATTGCTGGTAAATTATTCTGTCTCTTCCTCACTTATTCTCACATTCCAGTTTATTTCCTAAGTCATAAAAATAATACATTAAATTCTCACATAAACCCCAAAAGGTAGATATTATTTTTGTCCCCATTTTAGAGATAAAAAATTGAAAACAAGGCCAGGTATGGTGGCTCGTGCCCGTAATCCAGCACTTTGGGAGTCTGAGGCAGTTGGATCACTTGAGATCAGGAGTTTGAGACCAGCTTGGCCAACATGGTGAAACCCAATCTCTACTGAAAAAAAAAAATACAAAAATTAGCTAGGTATGGTGGCAGGTGCCTGTAATTCCAGCTAGTCGGGAGGCTGAGGCAGGAGAATCGCTTGAACCTGGGAGGTGGAGGTTGCAGTGAGCTAAGATTGGGCCACTGCACTCCAGCCTGGGTGACAGACAGAGACAGTGTCTCCAAATTTAAAAAAAAAAAAAAAATGAAGACAAGAACATTTCAAGGTAAGCAAAGAGCCAGATTCCAACTCAGAAAGAGTCTGGCTCAAGAGTCCATGCTCTGGTGCCCTGTACCACTCAGCTCTGTCCAGAAGCAGTGGCCTGACTCTCTTGCTGCTGGAAAGTGCCCTAGCAAGGCTAAAGGCAAGTACTCTTACCTGGTCAGGTCCTGAGTCTCCATGCGGGTAATGTGTTATCAGGCCACTCTGATTTATTAAGTCCCTAACTTCTCTCTTCAGGGTAGTCCTACACTTTACTCGTTAGCTTCCTTGTCAGGCTATTGCCCAAACTTGCTTGATGATAAGAATCAGCTGGAATAAAAATGTAGCTTCTCAAGATCCTATCTTCAGAAATTCCAGTTCACTGGGTCTGATGTTGTCCCAGAAATCTGTTTTCAACAAGTGACCCAGGTGATTCTTCTCATCAGTCAGGTTTGATAAACACTGACGTAGGAGTTTTAGCCAATGGGAACAAACATCATTGTCTTAAGCACTATGTATTATATAGTCAAAATTTCTATAGCATTTCTATAGCTGAATTAATCCAAAGCAATCGGTACATATGGCACAAAATGTATTTTTTTCCAGGAAGGACTAGGGGGTGGGCTGGAATGTCTTTGTGGTTTTCTTGTTTCTGAGTGATGACTGTTAGAAAGAATTCTTTAATGGCCATGCCCTTGAGGGAGTTTTTGCATTGCTCTGGGTCATGGAACAGCTTATACCAAATAGAAAGCCATTTTATATAGTTCTTTTAAGTCCTGCCTGAGAGAATTTTTGGAGAAGAGCAAATTAAATAAAGAGGAGAAAGAAGTACACAGTTCTCATTCCTTGAAGGCCCCTAAAGCAAACTCCTTGCATAACCAAAAGAGAGAGACTCAGGCTTTCCAACTTAAATGTTTATAAATCATACACAGAATGATTCAGGAGAAAATTTTATAAGGGATTAATTCAATTTACACAGTCTAATCAAAGAGCAAAAATGATCTTTGACAAAGAATTCAAAGGCAAAACTGTTGAAACTCACGACTACCAAAATATTGTTTAAGGTTAAAAAAACGGATCTGAAACGTGCCTAATCTGCTCTGACACTGCCACCACTGCTTGTCACAAATGAAGTTTCCACCTGAGGCACCACTGAAAGCCAAACTTCAGTTGCTATATTTGTGAGTCGGTGGGGGAAAAAAGGAAAATAAAAAGTAGAAATTAAGACTAAAAGACGGTCAAAGGAAGAGAAAGCAAACCAGTCCTTTCTGCCCTGTGGAACAACCTGCTTTTCAGGCCTCATTTCTGGCAGGGGCATCGCAAATCAGTAGCAGAGGCCAACACCCAAGTCGAAGGCACAAGACATACGTACCTCTTGGTGGGAGTGGGCACTCCAGAGGACATGTGGCTAACCATGGTGTCATTCATATTAGTCAGAGGGCGAGGAGGACTGAAAGAAAAGACATTTACCTTATATTAATAATGACCAACTAGGGGAAACAAGGGAAACGACGATAAGCATGGTAAGAGCAAAGGGACCAATCATCATTCGCGGTAAGCACAGACGGACCCATGGGGAGGGGGGGGACCCATGGGGAAGGGGAGGCCCATGGGGAGGTGGGGACCCATGGAGGGGGGGAACCCTTGGGGAGGGGGGTAGAAATCGATACTTCAAGCCTAAGTAAATTCAGCAAGAGGTTCTCCCTCACAAAGCCACAGGGCCACTGAGCTGTGGGTACCAGAGATGCAACTGATTATAAGCACACTACTGCAGGACGTAACTTTGGTGGCTTTTGCTTTGTAGTTTTAGTACATAAGAATTTAAATTCTGCCCCTTAGTGAATTTCTCTACATTTTACGTACAAGATTACTAGGTGTCTGGCATTCATTGTATATTACAAAGGTCACAACATCGAGGTGCATGCTGTTCCTGAGATTTGGTTAGAGCTCACTGGTTTCCCTCAGACTTAGTTTGTAAACTTTTAACCAGAACAGACTGTTAAATACCACGTTCAAAAATAAAGACTCTGGAACAAACTTTGATTAATTCTCTACTAGAATCTGAACAACAAATCCAAATTTTACACCTATACCCTAATTAGAATGTTGTCTTTGATAACCCCTAATCCAAATTTAAACTTCAAGGTTAGCATTTTTGGTAACTTGTCTTTAGCTGCAGGTTTTCTAGACTCAGGTCCATTTCTCCTTCTTGTGAAAGTCCTGAAGGAATGAATTCAAGCTTCTCAAAAAGGTGCCAGGTATCTTGCCTTCCAGCCATTCTTCAACCCCTCTCCCTCCCTACCAGGTTCAGCTACAAAAGGGTTCTGTCTTGCATCTGGAACCACATGACTATTGCTAAATACTTAAACTGGAAAATTTCTCACTTCCTCTTTTAAACTGGAAGAAGTACAGTCATGTGCCACACAATGATGTTTAGGTCAATGACAAACCACATACATTATAACAGATTATAATACTGTATTTTTACTGTACCTTTTCTATGTTTAGATACATAAATACCCTTGTGTAACAGTTGCCTCCAGTATTTAGTACAGTCCCATGTTGTACAGGTTTGTAGCTTGGAGGCTACATACATAGAGTGTACTTACACATACTTGGATGGTTTTGCCTGCTGCAAACCTAGGCTACACCATATAGCCTAGGCTACACCATACGGCCTAGGCTACACCATATGGCCTAGGTATGAAGCAGGCGAAACCACCTAGGTTTGTGTAAGTACACTCTCTGATGTTAACACAACACAAAATTGTCTAACAAAGCATTTCTCAGAATGCATCCCCCATTGTTAAGTTATGCATGATTATACTTCTCATATTTGTCTATCAAAAGCATAAAACTGAAGCTGAAAGTCCTTCTCTCATATTTAGGTGCTTGGGAACTAACTACCTTCTGGTTTCTCCTTCCGTTTAAGGACAGAGTTAATTATGTAAAATGTTTCTGGAGAGGTTATACTTAGCAATTCTTTGTGAATATTAAGGGATCACAGGCTTTATTGTTTTGCAGGTTTCATAGTACACTCAAATAAAAGCTCAAGGGGAAATATTTCAGGGAGGGCCAAGGAACCCAGATGTTAAAGAAGGATCTCTTTCTCCATCTATCTATGCACTTTTTTTTCTTCTTAAACCAACTGCATTTCTGTATAGGGATTTTTAAAAATGATTTTTCCATTTAATGGAGAGGATCCGAGATGGAAAGTAATTTGCAGGGAACTGATTTTGGTCTCTTGATTTTTAAGCCATAGTACTATGCTTATTGTTCTACATTCCTCCCTTTGTGTGACATGTCTCTAAGTAAGACATTTAGAATTGAAATATGCCTCTCTAGGCTAGAAGTCAATTCCAAGTTATTTATCTGACTACCTGTCTTCAGACAGATATCCAATTATGTCCCAAACTTTCAAGACTATTAATGCTAGTGGCTGTGCTGAGTTATAGTCAATTAATCAGTTGTTTTAGGTTGACTAATGATCGAAGTGAACACAGAGATTAGCTTGTATTTAGTCCTAAATTTATATTTTTGCCTCTAGTTCTCTTATATCAATTGTCCAACTGAAACAAGGAGACAATCCCTATGAAAGAACCAAATCCAGCACAACAGCTTTCTGGTCCTGGAAATAGAATGGGCTATTCTTTAATGTATTATTATTAGCAATCTATTTCCAAAAGAAGATAAAGACATTTTCACATTGCTTTCAGAACTAATACAGTTACCTGCTATATATATATTTTTTAATTTTTAATAAATAATAGAGACAAGGTCTCACTATGTTGCCTAGGCTGGTCTTGAACTCCTGAGTTCAGGTATCCTCCCACCTCCACCTCCCAAAATGCTAGGATTACAGGTGTGAGCCACCATTCCCGGCCACCTGCTATATTTCAATATTAAAGATATCACTGCATTCAATTTCCTTTTTGGTATTCTCAGAGGAAAAATGAGAATAAAAAATTCAAATTCCTAGAACATAAATCCATGCAATAAAATTTCATGATTTGTAACAATTTGGTCTGATACCACAAACATCTTTATAATCAATATCTCTTGGTATATATCATGTTCAACCATTATAGCACAAATATCAAAGCTTCTTCTCTAATATTCAAAACCAGACAGTAATGGCTATATTGTAAACTATAAACTAATCATAACTGACCCCCAAATGTCATAGCCTTTCTGAACTCCTAACATGCTTTGCTAGAAAGACAGGTATATGTCTGCAGTTTAAAATGAAAGAAGCACTTGCAAACTTAAAGGAGGTCTTTACTACAGAACCTTCACTAGAGCCACGACTCACCATGAAAGCCAACAGCTCAGATGCATTCTTAGAAGGCATAACATGGCCTGGGGAACGTAGTGAGACCCTGTCTTCACAAAAATTAAAAAAAAAAAATTAGCCTGCTGGCCAGGCGCAGTGGCTCATGCCTGTAATCTCAGCACTTTGGGAAGCTGAGGTGGGTGGATCACAAGGTCAGGAGTTCAAGACCAGCCTGGCCAAGATGTTGAAACCCCATCTCTACTAAAAATATAAAAATTAGCTGGGTGTGGTGGCGGGTGCCTGTAATCCCAGCTACTTGGGAGGTTGAGGCAGGAGAATAGCTTGAACCCGGGAGGCGGAGGTTGCAGTGAGCCAAGATCACGCCACTGCACTCTAGCCTGGGTGATAGAGCAAGACTCCATCTCAAAAAAATAAAATAAAATAAAATAAAATAAAATAAAAAAATAAAAAAGATTAGCCTGCTGGCTGGGCACAGTGGCTCACGTCTATAAAACTAGCACTTTGGGAGGCCAAGGCAGGCAGATGGCTTGAGCCTGGGAGTTTGAGACCAGCCTGGGCAACATAGCGAAACCCCGTCTCTACAAAAAAATACAAAGATTAGCTGGGTGTGGCGGCGCATGCTCGCAGTCCCAGCTACTCAGGAGGCTGGGGTGGGAGGATCACCTGAGCACAGGGAGGTTGAGGTTTCAGTGAAACTGACATTGTGCCACTGCACTTCAGGCTGGGTGACAAGTGAGATCCTGTCTCAAAAAAATAAAAAATAAAAATGAGTCTGGCATGGTTGCACGTGCTGTAGTCCTAGCTACTCAGGAGGCAGAGGTGGGAGGATCATTTGAGCCTAGGAGGTTAAGGCTGCAGTGAGCTGTGATTGCACCACTGCACTCCAGCTTGGGCGACAGAGCAAGACCCTGTCTCAAAAAAAAAAAAAAAAAGGTAATACACTAAAAATGACTTCTGGCTCAAACAAACATACAAAACCTTCATGGTTCTTGTAAGACATAACTGAAAAGAGTATTTCCAGGTGTAAAGCAGACATTAATGCTACAAATTATAGAAACTTAAAAAAACAGAATTGGCACAACATTAGATTGGTTTTGTTGATCTTTAACATGTAAAACCAGTTGAATACCTTGAGCACCAGATGTTCTGTATCTTCCTTTGGTACAGATCTCAGCAAGGTATAGGCACTATTGAGTTTCATGATACTGAAATGGCCACCATCTATCGCTTGGTCCAGAAATTTGGGAGGTTCCTTCTTTGTTAATAAGATATACCATTTTTTCGATGGGATAGAATAAGATGATGATATAGGTAGAAAGTATCTGGTAGTCAGTAGAGGTAGTTTTTAAAGACTTGGCAAGAATTTGGTACTTCTTAATTAAAGGGAAAGCATCACTGTTACTGGGTACCTACTGATAAAAGATTATCTTTATTTCAATGACCTAACTGTATATAGATGGAGACAAACATGCAAGCAAATCATCACAATGCCATGTAATGAGTGCAGCAATGAAGTATGGTCAGTCCTCCATGTCTGTGGGTTCAACCAACTGCAGATGGAAACTATTCAGAGAAAAAGTTCCACAAAGTTCCAAAAAGTAAAACTTGAATTCACCATATGCTGAGTAATACACTGAATCCTTGCAAAGGACGTGATGTGTAGGCATTGTGTTAGGTATTACAAGTACTCTAGAGAGGACTTAAAGTATATGGGAGTATGCGCATAGGTTATATGCAAATACTATTCTGTTTTATTTCAGGGACTTGAGCATCCTTGGGTTTCCATATCTGTGGGGGCTCCTGGAACCAACCCCCAGGGATACTGAGAGACAACTGACAGACCAAGTGCTGAGAGTCACAGATGAAGATCAGGTACTTCTGCCTGGAGGTACTTCTGCCTGGAGGAACAAGGGGCAAGAATCGTCATGGAAGGCCTCAGAGAGGAGGCATCGTTGAGAACAGTTTTCCAGATACAGAAAAAGAATTAAGAGAACCCTAGATAGAAATAGTATGTAAAATGGCATAGAAATCCAAAAATACATGAGAAACTGGGTCTAATTTATTTGTTTGACCAAAGGCATCTGAAAGGGAGTAGCTGGAAACGCATGTGGAAAGGTAGAGGAGAGGCAGGATGTGAAAGGAGCTTGTCCTAGCACAAGGTGAGAGATCTGAACTTTATATTGCAGGCAGCAGGAGAAGCACTGAATGTAAGACAAACACCAATGTGACCATCACATCATTTTAAAAGCTCACTCCAGAATCTTGCAGATGCTGGTCTTTTATCAAAAGCGTGCATGGGAATCCTCTGAAAAGCTTTCTGTAAGATAAGATACCCAAGCCCTACCCTCAGTTCAGTGACTCTGAACTTCTAGGGGTGAGGGGAATCTTTGCCCCACATAATATATAAATATATCATGTAGGATATATTGGGAAGCAGGGGAATGGAAGCTAGGAGGCCAGGTAAGAGGTTATGGCAGTTGCCCAGATCAGTGACTATGAAGATGGACAGTGGTAGTCAAGATGGGGGCAAGAGAAAAGGAAAGCTATTGTGAAGACAAAACCAGTAAGAGAGGGTGACTGATTAAGTACGCAGGGTTAGGGAATAAAGAATAAGAGATTTTTACCTTGACTACTGGGTGGTAAAATATCCAAACTAGAAAACACAGAGTAGGAAACAAGATCTGAGGTTGGAAAGGAGGAGGGATGGGTAGACAGAATGAGCAGGAAGATAAGAGTGAATAGGATTTGAGTTTTGAAATTGTTGGGTTTGAAGTACCATTGATACCATTGAAGTACAGGTAAGTGGATGTCTAGAAAGCAGTTGAAAATAGGAGAACAGAACTCAGATGAAATGTCAAGTTTGAAAATACATGAGTGTCATTAAACAGTACCTGGTCATTTCAGTATTCTGAACACTAAAAACGTGCATTTACTTATTTATTTATTGTTTTGAGATGGAGTCTCTCACTCTGTTGCCCAGGCTGAAGTGCAATGGGGCAATCTCAGCTCACTGTAACCTCCACCTCCCAGGTTCAAGCGATTCCCCCCTCACCCTCCCGAGTAGCTGGGATTACAGGCATCCGCCATCATGCCCGGCTAATTTTTGTATTTTTTGTAGAGACGGGGTTTCGCCATGTTGGCCAGGCTGGTCTTGAACTCCTGACCTCAGGTGATCCATCTGCCACAGCCTCCCAAAGTGCTGGGGTTACAGGCGTGAGCCACCAAGTCTGGCCGAAAACGTACATTTATATTTATTGTTTTTAGGCGGGGTAGGAGAGGTTTGGGGACCTATGCAGTAAGAGGGTGGCTTAGATAACAGGAACAGAGGTTCTGGTTATTGGGGAGACACATCTCCTATTACAAAGCACAAATTGAGCTTACTGGTAGAAATAATTTTCATGCAGTTCCCTTGCGGCCAGACCACTCCAGTTCATTCTGGTGATGCTCTGAAATACAGACTAACTAGAAATTAAAATTCCTACAAAATCTCTCTTAAGGGTTTTAAAATCATCTGTAGGAATAGATAAATAACTTGTACCTTTAAAAATGTTTCAGGACAGATTATATACAACTGTATATTTCTTTCATTTATCAGATATTTGCCTATAATGTGACAGGCACTGTGCTAGCTTCTGGGAATAAAAATTAAAAAGATGAAAACTGAAGTCTTACAAAGAAGAAAAATTTAGAAAAAATAATTATAATGTAGCAAATACTTAATAGAAGTAAGAAAAACTGCTATATGCATGGGAAAATACTGAGATTATCTCATCCCATAAAGAAAAACATATTTCTAGGGTGTTAAAGAGTTAAATATAAGCCAGGCATGATGGAACCCACCTACAGTCCCAGTTATGCAGGAGGCTGAGGTGGGAGGATCATTCGAGCCCAGTATTTTGAGGCCAGCCTGGGTAACACAGCCAAGACTCCGTCTCTTAAAGAAAAAAGAAGAGTTAAATATAAATGTTTATATAAATTAAGAGAAAAAATATAGGTCTATGAATAGAGAGGATTTTCTTAGCTCAAAAGCAATGGAAAAATTAGAAAAACACCAGTTAATTTGAATTGTTAAAACCATCAGAAAAGAAAAAAAAATTTGAGGAACTACCTGAACAAATGTGACACAGCAAAAATTAAATGCCTTAATACATAAAGGATTCACACAAACTTAAAAGAAAACTATAGGGATTCCAATTAGATAAATGGGTAAAGTAAAAATACATGTTTAAAAAGAAGAAATACAAATGACTCAAAAGAAATTTAATTAAAAATTACAGGCTGTGCACAGTGGCTCATGCCTGTAATCCCAGCACTCTGGGAAGCCAAGGCAGGAGGATCGCTTGAGCCCAGGAGTTCGAGACCAGCCTGAGCAACATGGCAAGACCCCATCTCTACAAAAAATTAAAAAATCAGCTAGGTGTGGTGGCATATGCCTATGGTCTCAGCTACTCAGGAGGCTGAGGTGAGAGGACTGCTTGAGCCTAGGAGTTAAAGGTTGTAGTCAGCCAAGATCAAACCACTGCACTTCAGCCTGGGTGACAGAGTGAGATCCTGTCTCGGTGGCGGGCAGGGGGAATTATAGACCACTTTCTCTGGGAAAAATAATGATCTTTTTAAAAAGGCAATCCTTAAGAGTGGAGACGGTTTTCTGACACAGGTCCTTAATTTACTACTAGTCAAGAGTGAAAGTAAAAAGTTAAGCCAAATTTCTAGAAAGTGATTTGGCAATATGTCCATCAAAGATCTTAGAAAACATTCAAACACTGTGGCTCAGTAGTTCTCCTTCTAGGAATCAATTCAAAAGACTAATTAGAAATGCACAAAGAGATTTATATTAACAAATATTCAGGAAGTGTTATTTATGGTAGGATAATTTTGAAATTATCCTAAGTGTTCAAATATAAGGAAAGGAAAAGTAAACCATGGTATATCCATAATTATAGGATATTATGCTGTCATTAAATAATAATGCTTATGAAGACTTTTTGATTACTTGGAAAAATGCTCAGCATATAGAAGATAACAAAGAAGGGCAAGATGATGATGATAGCTAACAACTACTGAGTGTTTGATATCTATCAGACACTTTAGAGCTTTAAATACATTATTTATGCTGTCTTCACAATAGTCGTATACAATTATTTATACATACACACAGCACACTCAACTACATCATAAGCATAAAATGAAACATCTGGAGGCAATATGGTCAAATGTTAAGATAAGTGGAATTATGGGAATTATGGGAATTATGGGAAAGTATACTTTCCAACACTTCTCCAACCTTTTCAGTTTAATTTTTCCTGATTCTAAGAGAAAAAGATGCTTAATGTAAAAAAAAAAAGAATCAAATTTCTAAAGTGAACCTATATTATTTTTGTTATTAAGAAAGCAAACTGAGAAGGGAAGTGTTATATGAGCACACACACACACACACACAGACACACACACAGAGGGAGAGAGAGAGGGAGGAAGAGGCAGGGGGAGGGAACGAGGGAGGAGAAACTATGGTGTAGAAGTTTGAGACTTTCAGTAGAAAACCTGTGAAATGGTTTGAGTAGATCCAAAGTTCCACAACTTCCCAACATCATTACCACCACCACTCCTCAAAAATGAGAATAAAGAAAACATCTTAGACCAGTCTAGATGATCTCCTCTACTACACTGTAAGAAATCTGTGATATTTTTACTATTATATTTCAAGTGTCTGGCATAGTATGAGGCACAGAGTAGGTACTCCGTAAATATTTGTTGCCCATGAGTCAGCACCATGTTGCGGAATATAACAGGAATGGTGAGTGGGTAAGAAGTAATCTATTATATTTAGATGTGGTGAGACTATTCTCCAAAAATGGGATGACATTATTCGCTGTTATATTTGGTGGATATATTTGTAGCGTCTGCAGCGATAGCAGACTCTTTTTCCCCTTCACTGGGAACAGTGGTATATTCTTTTCTACTTAACTCTATTAATGTCTACTGCTTGGTCTGTTATTTTTTTTCTTCTACCATCTATGACTTAGGAATAGAATCAGCAGAGTGGAGAGTGTCTTTACTAATAATAGCAATATTTATTGAGTGCTTCCTATACGGCAGACTAAGTTTGAACATTTTCCATGGATTCACTCATTTAACCTTACACCAAGCCAATGAAGTAGATACCATTATCTTTATTTTACAGATGGAAAAAAAAAAAACTGAGGCATGGAGAAAAGTAATGTTTTTGAGGTCACAGAGCCAAATCGTGGGAGCAAGAGGATTTGAACCGAGGCAGTGTGGCTCTGAGTGTGTGTGCTCAGTCATTCGAGTGTACTGTCTACTATCTTTCACGGCTGCACTTTCAGGAAAACACTTAAGGATATTTACTCTATATAAAAAAAGCCAACAGCATGACGTTAGATCATAGTTCCTGTTGTTTCTATAGGAAGATAAGATAGTAATAGTTACAAAGTATAGTTTTGGAGTGATTTACCCTTTCCCCATCATATTATTAGAACTCTGTGTCCTAAATGGCTCTCTGAACGTAAACCATCTGGCTTGAGAGCTTAACAGGATTAACTTTAAAATCTAATCTTCATTTCAAAGATCTTTTAGGTTCCTAATCTCAGCCTAGCAAAATACATACATTTAATGAGCAAATTATCTATTATATAAACCAGACTGTTGACTAAAAAAAAAGTTTAACAATGGGCTTAAAATCAACACTGAGTGTTATGACTCATTTTGGCTTTCTGAATTAACTTAGATCCAGGGGTAAACAATGTCTGGATAGGAGTCTCTAACCAAGGATGTGAAAGTACAGTACTGATGTCGTGTAGACAAAATTTCTACTTAAAATTGCAAAGTTTTAAAGATGAAGGAGTAGGCTGGGTGCAGTGGCTCACACCTGTAATCCCACCACTTTGGGAGGCCGAGGCAGGAGAATCGCTTGCATCCAGGAATTTGAGACCAGCCTGACTCCATCACTACTAAAAATCAAACATTAGCTGGTTTTGGTGGTGCACACCTGTAGTCCCAGGTACTCAGGAGGCTGCTCAGGGGAGGACTGCTTGAGCCTGGGAGACTGAGGCTGTAGTGAGCCGACATCACATCACTGCACTCCAGAGTGGGTGACAAAGTGAGACCTTGTCTCCAAAAAAAAAAGGAGGAAATGAATAAAGTCAGCTGAAGCCTGGAGGACAAGTGAGATTTGGGGCACCTGTCAGAGCTGTCCCTTTTCCCCAGGCCCTTTGACAGAGCCTCTTCTGTAGGAAGTCATGCAGACAGCCACGTACTTACCCCTGCCCTTCACTTTTAAATTTATTGGCGCATTAGCTCTTTCCCACAGAACATTTCTTTTAGCTGTGGAGGTTAAGATCAGTGTCCTGCAATTCTCTTTTACATAGACAGCTGTCTGCTAGCCATGCATTTGGGAATCTTGAGCAGATTTTTTGGGTGTCTGTTTATTACTATTGGTGTGAAAGGGGGAAAGAATTTATTATGCCCTAATGCTTTCATTTGCTCGACTTCTTTTTTTGTATTCCCCATAATAATGCTTTACAAAGGAGGTAACCATTTTAAATACATTTAATCTCTTATTAATATTTTGTAGCCAGCTATTTTGCCCTCAATCCTAGATACCTATGTTACTTCTGAAATTATCTTCCCTACTCACTTGAATCAGACCTTTTTCTTCTTTTAAATGATGCAGCAGATTTCACCATACTTTAAAACAAATGTAAAACCCACCCTATAGACTACCTCATTCTTTTCTCTATCAAACCACTTCAGTCTCCCATCTCTCTCCATCAAGTTGTTGTTCTTTTGCTTCTTCTAAGCCCCTGCTTTCACCTCTTTTCCCACCTACTTATCCTGGAATGTCCTTCATAGATTGGCCAAAGTTACACAATTTCTCACTTCTCTTATCAGAAAAACAGCTCCTGAAATTTCAATAGCTCTAGAAAACCTTTCTAGTTACAAGCTCCATTTAAATAAACATTGGCCATAGTATGCAAACAAACAAAAATCCACGGCCTATTCATGCCTAGCACTGTTAGGGGTTTCGGGACAAAATAAAACAAGTTGAAGACTGTCCCTGCCCACAAGAAGTTTATAATCAGTCCTCATAATCATCAGTCATAGCAACAACAGATACTTAAGCTTTAGCTTAACATATTACAATATTTAGATCAAATCCTATATGATGATAATTTATAACCAAATACATGTAAGACTATTTGTAACAAAGACAACTTAATTATTTCATTTGATATAAACAAAAACCAGTACAACAAAATAATATGAAAAAATCCTATGAAGTTAACAGTTACAGGATTTGCTGTGTATTTTGCATACATTTCTTTACTTTTGCAGCATTGGGGAGGTTGTGGGGGGAAGACAGTGCCTAAGCATTTGCTGAGTGTGAAATGCATCAGCACTGAGCCAGGCCCCTCAGAAACATTACGTGAATTCTCACTACTACTCATGGTGGTATTTCTATTTTGCAAATAAAGAAATAAAAGTCAAGGAAGATAATGGGTTCAAGGTCACATGATGGAATCAGTATTGGACACTACTTGTATCTGCTTCTAAAGCCACTGAATAGATCAAATCCACAAACACTCTTTTATTTCAGGCATCTCTGTATTATCCAAATGAATTTTTCAGATTAGAGTTCTCAGGGAACAATAAATTTTCAAGTTTGAGAAACACTGCCCCAATTCAGGACTACTAGCCTCAAATCTAACTTGAAGTAGTTTAAGTGGTAAGGGGGGTGGGGGGAGGAGGGGGGAGTGCGGGGGTGGTTGGGAGAGGAACTTATTGGGCACCATAACTAAATACTAACTAAATTCATAACCAACCTCACGAAGGCAGGGGTGCAGCTGGCTTCCAGGATGTTGGAATGTCATTAGGACGTTTACTGTTACCTTTGCTTAGATCTCATTTTGAGTCAGGCTTTACACATGGCCCACAGCTTTTTATGCTTAGGAAGAAAGAGTTTCTGCCCAGAATCTCACAGCTTTACCACTGGAGAATAAAACCTCTTCCTTTATCCCAATTTGAAAATCCCCAGCAAAGCCTCTGGCCTGCCCTGAGTCACTTGCCTACTCTGGCATTCAGCAGGCCCCATGCTATGACTGGTATTCCTCCCGGAACATCACAGTTAGCGCTAGGAGGGGAACAGATCTCTAAGGAGAGAGCACTGTTGCCAGAAAAAAAAAAAAGGGAGGCTGCAGAACAAATCTACAACAAAAAAATGTTCACTTACTTAAAGATTAACTTTCTTCCAAAGAAAAGTGTCAAATGACAGTGCTCAGGGTGCAGGCACTTCAGCATCTCTGCTGCACAATGCGTCAGAATGAAGGTGGTATTTCTCTTTTTTTTTTTGAGTCAGGGTCTCGTTCTGTCACCCAGGCTGGAGTGCAGCGGTGCAATCTTGGCCCACTGCAACCTCCACCTCCCAGGCTCAAGTGATTCTCTTGCTTCGGCCTCCCAAGTAGCTGTGACTACAGGCACATGCCACCACACCAGCTAATTTCTGTATTTTTCATAGAGTTGGGGGTTGTGTCATGCTGCCCAGGCTGGTCTCGAACTCCTGGGCTCAAGTGATCCATCTGCTTTGGCCTCCCAAAGTGCTAGGATTACAGGCATGAGCCATTGTGCCCAGCCTTCTCTCTCTCTTTTTAGTTACTACTACTCTTCAAAAATTTGTGGTTAGAGACCTATTCGTGGACCCTTAAGTGAAAACAATATATTGTCTAGAAAGAAAACCAGTTTTCTTATTATTCCATTATGATGAAGAGGACATAAGGGATTACATTGATCTATAATGCTGGTAAGCTGCAGCTCTGGTGAAATATTAAGGAGCCCAGGTTCTAAAAGCCCTTTCATTGCAATGATTCTCGTGTGGATAGTGTGGATCATTCTTGATCTCCTTGAGTAGCATGCTCTTTGTCTATCTCTATGTAATGGACCAACCATTTCTTGTTACCTCACGGGGTTCTATGGTTATCTGCCAAAGCAAGGAAGTTAAACAAACAAGCAAAAACACCTTTTGGAAAACCATGATGTTAAAAAAATAAGCATCTGGTACTGTAAGTGTAGCATAAATATCATGTTACATACCTACAATGAGGTTTCTGACTTCCGGGAAGTGCATTTAAGTTTACTGATCATTTACAATTAATTAACCAATTGGTTAATATAAAAAACTCCCCTATCAGCAGACATATATGCCTCAATTTATATTCGTAGCAATTTAGCATAGCCATTTGTGGTATCAGACTTGTTTAATGAACTATTTCTCAGGAAGGAAAAGTTTACCACAAATCCATTCTTACACTTTCACCACTAGATAGTGTCTAGAGACATGGAGAGGAAGCCAAATATCTCTCTAGCTCTAGAAAGGGACAGAATTGTAAAATGAGACAATAGTTATTAACTATAACAAATTAACTATTTAACAGTATTGCTCAATTTATCATCATTATGTTGAAAAAGCAGTCGAGAGTCTTATAAACCGGATCATCAAATCAACAGAAATGTATTTTTTTATTTTTAAAAACCTTTCCATGATGAATCCCTCCTTCCTTGTTCTCCTTGTTCATTAAACTTAGGAAGTTGTTCCTACTTTATGTAGATGCTAAGTCCTGTATTTAAGAAAAATGAGAAAGGATGGCATCTTAAATGCTTTAACAAGTTACTGCTCATAGAGGGGTCAACAAAATGCATGATGCAAAGTCATTTCCCGACCTGTTCACATGGTCATCAACTGAAATCTGTTTTCAAAAATGGAAATGAATTCACTGCTATAGATGACAGGCTGACTCTCACATATTTTTACCAAACAAGAAGAGATATAGTGGGGCTGGGCGCAGTGGCTCACACCTGTAATCTCAGCACTTTGGGAGGCTGAGGCAGGCGGATCACCTGAGGTCAAAAGTTCAAGACGAGCGTGGCCAACATGTAAAGCCCTATCTCTACTAAAAATACAAAAATTAGCCAGGCATGGTGGTGGGTGCCTGTAATCCCAGCTACTTGGGAGGCTAAGGCTGGAGAATCGCTTGAACCCGGGAGGCCGATGTTGCAATGAGCTGAGATTGCACCACTGCACTCCAGCCTGGGTGACAGAGTGAGACTCTGTTTCAAAAAAAAAAAAAAAAAGATAATAGTGGGCTGCCCATTTAATAGAAACTCCCTGGGAAGTTCTAGGGGCTCTAGCATCTTGCCAAAAATAAACACAATCATCATTAGCCCAGTGCTTAAGGTGGCAAAAATATAAAGGCGAAGAATAACTATTAAACCTTCACACTCTGTAGCAAAGCCTTCTTCTTTCTCTACAGATCTGGCTTCTAATGCATTACGCTGCTGTTGTCTCTAAGGAAACAGAACAATCACATGACGAAGGGTCTTCTCTACAAGGTAGTCTTCCCCACAGAGCATTTTGGGAAAGAGGAGGCTCAAGAGGACAACTCATTAGAAGGCAAACACACATCTGCCTTCCACCAGCAAGTCCACAAAGCAGTCAAATGACAGGACAGGAAGACAGAGGTAGCACACAGTGTAGGTACTGCTCATTGGAAGCTTAAAAATGAAACACACCTACTTGCAATAGAATCCAAGTCTTGCTGCAAATCCATAGCCTAATGAACCCGGTCAGCAATTCCATTCCGATGAGGACTTTAAGGAGCACTCCCACCTCCTCTCCAAGGGCCTCTTCTAATTGCCAACTCTTGATAAGAAAGTAGCCTACAGAACTGTGTCTGCCAAGCAGTCTAGGTAGGTAGCTATCAGGAGGTAGGGAGAACCAGTAAGGCTTGAGTTTTTTGTTTTGCTGAAGAGGAGTTAATGGGAATGCAAGCAGGGTGAAAAAATAGGACGATGGTGTCTGTCTACCGCTTTGATGCAGACAGCTCCTTAATTCATAAAGGCAGCTTATACGAGGGCAGTTGAAACAAAAGGGCTATCCAGTGTGAGCTGCTGAGCAGGCTCTGATGGATGTCTCTGACAGGGTAGTCCCATCATGAGATTGTCTCTGCCAGTCAGAGTCATTCTGTGGCCTCTTATTTATTTCATGTAGTCAATAGCTCCTAAAACTGTGTTCCTGGTTTCTATCCCCACTGCCACCATCACATTTCAGCCCTCATTTGGCTAATGTTACTTAAATATTCTAGGTTTTCTACTGGTTCATGGGTGTCCAGGGAACCTTTCTATTGTTACTTATCTGATTTCTCACAGCTAAAATCACTTTCCTAAGCACCGCTCTCATCATGTCACCATTCTACCCCAAATCATCAATTCTCTACTAGTCTCCCAAATTAGAACAAAACTCTTTGTCTGTGCAGGCACTGCCCAGACAGCACAGCCTCAGTCTCCCAGGGCCTCCTCATTGTCACCACTTCTCCCCCTTCCTACACTGTTCAAACACAGGTCTGGAAATTTTCTGGCACAATAAAACAAAAACAAAACAAAATGACAAAAACTACACAAGTATTTACACTAAAAGTAGAGGTAGTCAAAATGAAACCCTTACTAAATACCTCAGTGCCCGGGAAATAATTCTATTATTTACTTAGATAAATGAAGAAGTGAGAAAAGCCAAGCCAACAAATCAGACAAACCAACTAGTGTGACTGTTACTACACACACTCAGATATCCAAACTAAGAGCCTAAAATAAAATGGGTGCATGTGTTAGACTACTGAGCAGAAGATGAAAGAGCTGATTCATATCAGAAATATAATAAAAACAAAATAACAGTGGGATATCATCTTTCAAGGCTACAAACTCTAAGGATATAGATGAGGGACACAGTGCAGAATGTGAAGGGCAATGTGAACAATAATGGGTAAAATTAATTACAGGAAAAAACTACAGACCGAGTGCAGTGGCTCACTGGGAGCACTCTGGGAGGCTGAGGCGGGTGGACTGCTTGAGCCCAAGAGTTTGAGACCAGCCTGGGCAACATGGTGAAACCTCATCTCTACAAAAGAAATACAAAAATTAGCCAGGTGTGGTGGTGCATTCTTGTGGTTCCAGCTATTCAGGAGGCTGAGGTGGGAGGATTGCTTGAGCCTGGGAGGTTGAGGCTGCAGGGAGCCATGATCATGCCATCACACTCCAGTCTGTGCAACAGAATGAAACCCTGTCTCAAAAAAAAAAAAAAAAAAAAAAGATCTATAGAATGTTTGAGATTATGAGATTGAAATACCATAATTTTATAATGAAAACATATCAAGGTCAGGCATGGTGGCTCACTCCTGTAATCCCAGTACTTTAGGAGGCCAAGGCGGGTGGATCACCTGAGGTCAGGAGTTTGAGACCAGCCTAGCCAACATGGTGAAACACTGTCTCTACTAAAAATAGGAAAATTAGCCAGGCATGGTGGCAGGGTGCCTGTAATCCCAGCTACTCGGGAGGCTGAGGCAGGAGAATCGCTTGAACCGGGGAGGCGGAGGACGCACTCAGTCGAGATCGTGTCATTGCAAAAAAAAAAACCAAACAAACAAAAACAAAAACAACCATATCAGGAAGGAAAGGGGGGCAGTGGAGAGTGGGAAAAAGTTTGGGAAAATTGGTTCTGGCTCCAACTCTGATACTAAGTGGATTATGTGACCTGCATGACTTTGGACAATGAAGCCCTGTGTGTCTCAGCTAACTGGTCTGTGAAATGACAGGGGCTGGTTCTAGAGCACTGATTTTCACATGCTGTGCTCTGGGGATCTGAGGATGCCACATGGTGCTTCAGTGACCATGATGAACAGCAAGGGGAACAGACGAAGGATGTTAGGCCCCAATCTTGTTCCAATAAGGGTAGCTCCACTTCTATTCCACATAACATTTCATAGGAATAAAATGTTCTACTGCTTTTTTAAAAAGTTTGAAAACCCCTTTCCTGACTACAAAATTTAAATTAGAAGTCCCTGCTATATTCTCTCATAGTATCCTCTTCTTTTTAAATAATACTTATCATAATTTGCTATTATATGTAATTAGTTTTTATTTGTTGGTTGGTTTCACTTATGAGCTTGTAAACTTTGCGAGAGCAGGGACCCTAGTACTTGTTTCATCTCTGTCTTCATTGCATTCACAATGTGTACTGAAAACCACAATTGGAACACACTGGTTGCTCAACAAATATTAGTTCAATTATGAATGACTCTCTTATAGCTGAGCTTTTATAATTCTACTTACCATTCTTTTTTTTGGTTTTGTTTTGAGACAGGGTCTTGCTCTTTCACTCAGGCTGGAGTACGCTGGCATGATTATAGCTCACTACAACCTCAAACTCCTGAGCTGAAGGGATCCTCTTGCCTCAGCCTCCCAAGTAACTTGGATTACAGGTGCACCACCATATCCAGTTAATTTTTTTTATTTTTATATTTCTGTAGACATGGGATCTCACTCTGTGGCCAGGGCTGGTCTTGAACTTCTGGCCTCAGCAATCCTCCTGCCTCAGCCTCCCAAAGTGCTGGTACTACAGGAGTGAGCCACTGTGCCAGGCCATCTACTTACCATTCTAATCTACCTTAAGCAATGTATTGGCTGAAACCCAAAAGTGTCAATTGGTCGGGTGCTCAACTGACATGAATTTTAAATGGAAAAGATATCCAGACAAGGAATTCAAAGAAGGCTGGTAGATAAGCCATTTGGGATAGCAAAAATCTGTGAGTGGGAGGAGTAATGAGGCCTAAACAGGCACACACCCAACAGAGGCAGCAGCGCTCCTCATGCGTACTAAACACATCAGGCCAACTACGCTGTTCAATCATTCTTAGCATCTCATTTCTGGACCAAAAGAACCTAAAAGAAATGTAAAATGCCCCAAGACATTAGAGAATTTGCCAAGGGAAAGAAAAACCACCTACCATTTCATTAAAATGTGTATCTAAGTCTCTGCTGAAAAGACCACACAGAGACCTTGGGAGACAGTGCTTTGCCAGTGAACTATAAATCAGCTGCAGAAGTAGTCCAGGGACTTCCAGTACAAGGTAGTAGAGTGAGCACATGCGGAGAGCTCACCCTCCTGTGCCAAAAAAAAAATGACTTAAAGATATAAACATAAATTAATGCATAATTAATGCATGTATAGCTAGGACCAAAACAAAAAAGGAAACTCTGTTTAATGCCTAAACAAAATGAAAAAGTATCCTCTAAGGAAGAAAATGAAGAATCATAGTGGTGAGCAAGGGCTGCTTCTCAGCGGCCATGAGCCACACACACAAGGACTGCTGGCCACTTTTGAGGAGGCTGGAAGAACCTAGGTTCTGACCCCCATGGGGCCCCCCGAAAAGCAGAGAAAACAGAGCATCCAAAAAGGTCTTCAAATACCTAAGATCCTCAGGCCCCTAAAGGATAAAACAGCATCCATCAAATGTTCTGAAAAATAACCAATTAGAGGCTTTAAAAATGAAAACCATAGTTATTGAGACAAAAAACAAAACAAAACTGAATACAGCTAAAGATTGATGAACATAAAAAATAAGTTAAATGTAAAAGCTAGATCTAGAAGTTTTTTTTTTTCTTTTCTCTTTTGAAACAGGGTCTCACTCTGTCACCTAGGCTTGAGTGCAGTGGCAGGATCATAGCTGCCACTGCAACCTCGAACTCCTCAGCTCAAAGGATCCTCCTGCCTCTCAGCTTTCCAACTAGCCGGGACTACAGACACATGCCACCATGCCCAGCTAATTTTTTGTTTGTTTGAGATGGAGACTCGCTCTGTCGCCCAGGCTAGGATGCAGTAGTCAGATCTCAGCTCACCGCAATCTCCACCTCCCAGGCTTAAACGATTCTCCTGCCTTAGCCTCCTGAGTAGCTGGGATTACAGGTGTGAGCCACCATGCCCAGCTAATTTTTGTTGGGTTTCAGACAGAGTTTCACCATGTTGGCCAGGCTGCTCTTGAACTTCTGACCTCAAGAGATCAGCCTTGGCCTCCCAAAGTGCTGGGATTACAGGCATGAGCCACTGTGCCCAGCAATCCAAAAGTTTTAAAGTCTATATTTTAGGGTTCAGACAAACTAAAGAGAATGAAGGAGAGGCGATAGTATCTAAACAGACAATGGCTGAAAATTTTTCAGATTTAAGGCATGAGTCTTCAGAAACTAAGAATCCTGAGTATTAAATTAAATTAAATAGAAACTCAAAAAGCTTATATACAGACAGGTTATAGTAAAACTTCAGATTTATTAAAGTATTAAAAAAAATCCTGGCCAAATGCAGAGGCTCATGCATGTAATCCCAGCACTTTGAGAGACCAAAGTAGGAGGATCACTTGAGGTCAGGAGTTCAAGACAAGACTGGATAACATAGTGAGATGCTGTTTCTACAAAAATAAAAAATTAGCTGGGCATGGTGGTGTACACCTGTGGTCTCAGCTATTTGTGGGGCTGAGGTGGGAGGATTGCTTAAGCCCAGGGAGGTGGAGTCTGCAGTGAGCCGTGATTGCACCACTGCACTCCAACCTGAGCGACTGAGTGAGAACCTGTCTCAAAACAAAATAACAACAACAACAACAACAAAACAAAAAACAAAAAAAATCCTAAAAGTTTACCAGCAAAATGAGACATTCGACAAAAAGGAAGGAGAATCAGATTGCCATCAGCAAAACTGATTATAATAGAGGAGCGATACCTTCAAGCAATGAAGAGAAAACAACTTTGGCTGGACTCTAAACCCAGTGAAACCATCATTTAAGACTAAGTGGGTGCACCACAACCATTAGACAAGAAAAAGAAATAAAAGATGTCCAGACTGGGGCTTGGCACAGTGGCTCACTCCTGTAATCCTAACACTTTGGTAGGCTGAGGCAGGAAGATCGCGAGGATCACTTGAGCCCAGGAGGTGAAGACCAGCCTGGGCAACATGGCGAAACCCCATCTCTAAAAAAGTATAAAAATCAGCAGAGCAGCCAGGCACGGTGGCTCATGCCTGTAATCCCAGCACTTTGGGCAGCCAAGGTGGGTGGATCATGAAGTCAGGAGATGGAGACCATCCTGGCTAACACGTTGAAACCCTGTCTCTACTAAGAAAAACCCAAAAAATTAGCCGGACATGGTGGCCAGCGCCTGTAGTCTCAGCTACTCGGGAGGCTGAGGCAGGAGAATGGCATGAACCCAGGACGCAGAGTTTGCAGTGAGCTGAGATTGCACCACTGCACTCCAGCCTGGTTGACAGAGCAACTGTCTAAAAAAAAAAAAAAAAAAAAAAAATCAGCAGGGTGTGGTGGCATGAGCCTATGGTCCCAGCTACTTGGGATGCTGAAGTGGGAAGATCACCTGAGCCCGGGAGGGCAAGGCTGCAGTGAGCCATGATTGTGCCTCTGCATTCCAGCCAGAGTGACAGAGCAAGACCCTATCTCAAAAAAAAAAAAAAAAAAAAAAAAAAAAAAAAAAAAAAGTCCAGACTGTGAAGCTACGAAGGAAGAAGTCAAGAAGTCAAATTATCTCTATTTGCCGATGACATGATCTCATACACAGAAAACTCTAAAGAGTCCACACAAAGGAAGCTATTAGAGTCAGGTGCAGTGGCTCACGCCTGTAATCCCAACACTTTGGTAGGTTGAGACAGGAGGATCACTTGAAGCCAGAGTTTGAGACCACACTGGACAACATAGAGAGACTCTCTCCCTCCAAAAAAAAAATTTTAAAAATTAGACAGGTGTGGTAGTGCGTGCCTGTGGTCCTACTACTCAGGAGGCTGAGGTGGGAGGATCACTTGAGCCCAGGAGTTCAATGCTGCAGTGAGTTATGATTGTGTCACTGCACTCCAGCCAAAGTGACAGAGCAAGACCCTGTCTCTAAACAAAACAACCAACCAAGCAAAACTATTAGAGTTAATAGACAAGTTCAGCAAAGCTGCAGGACACAAGATCAATATTACAAAATTCAATTGTATTTCTAGATATTAACAGTGATCTGAAAATGAAATTAAGAAAAGAGGCCGGGCACAGTGGCTCACGCCTGTAATCCTAGCACTTTGGGAGGCTGAGGTGGGCGGATCACGAGGTCAGGAGATCGAGACCATCCTGGCTAACACGGTGAAACCCCATCTCTACTAAAAACAATACAAAAAATTAGCTGGGCGTGGTGGCGGGCACCTGTAGTCCCAGCTACTGGGGAGGCTGAGGCAGGAGAATGACGTGAACCCTGGAGGTGGAGCTTGCAGTGAGCTGAGATGGCACCACTGAGCTCCAGCCTGGGCGACACAGCAAGACTCTGTCTCAAAAAAAAGAAAAAAAAAAACAGTTTTATTTACAATAGCATAAAAAATATGTAGAAATAAATTTAGCCTGGCTGGGCGCAGTGGCTCACGCCTGTAATCCCAGCACTCTGGGAGGCCGAAGTGGGCAGATCACCTGAGGTTGGGAATTCGAGACCAGTCTGGCCAACATGGTGAAACCCTGTCTCTACTAAAAATACAAAAATTAGCTGGGAGCAGTGGCACATGCCTGTAATCCTAGCTACCTGGGAGGCTGAAGCACAAGAATTGCTTGAACCCGGCAGGCAGAGTTTGCATTGAGCCAAGATCGCACCACTACACTCTAGCCTGGGTGACAGAGAGAAAGGAAGGACGGACGGATGGACAGATGGAAGGAAGGAAAGAAAGAAGGAAAGAAAGAAAGAAGGGAAGAAAGAAAGAAGGAAGGAAGGAAGGAGGAAGGAAGGAGGGAGGGAGAGAAGGAAAGAAAGAAGGAAAGAAGGAAGGAAGGAAAGAAAGAAAAGAAAGAAGGAAAGAAAGAAGGAAAGAGAGAAGGAAAGAAAGGAAGGAAGGAAGGAAGGAAAGAAGGAAAGACAAGAAAGAAGGAAAGAAGGAAAGGCAAGAAAGAAGGAAAGAAGGAAAGGCAAGAAAGAAGGCAAGGCAGAAAGAAAGAAAGAAAGAAAGAAAAGAAAAGAAAGAGAAAGAAGGAAAGGAAGGAAGGAAAAGATGGAAGGAAGGAAGGAAGAAAGGAAGGAAAAGAAAGAAAGAAATTTAACCAAAGTGTGAAGCTTGTATACTGAAAATTATAAAACATCATTGAAAGAAAGAACACCTAAATAAATGGAAAGATTTCACATGTTCATAGATTTCATATTGCTAAGATAGCAATATTCCCCAAATAGATCTATTGATTCAGTACAATTCCTAACAAAATCACAAAATACCTTTTTGCAAAACTTGATGAGCTGACTCTAAATGCACATGGAAACGCAACAGACATAGCCCAAAAAGCGTCTTCCAAAAGAAGAACAAATTTAGAGACACAAACTTTCCAATTTCAAACTTACTACTAACTTTCAAAGTGGGTTAGTTTGCTTCAGGTCCAAAGGTTCAGAGATATTCATAAATTGCCCATTACTCTCTCCAGTGACAAATAATTCATAATTGATATCTGAAATGATTGGCTTTGAAAAAGTTTCTAAGCCTAAATACTGTATAATGATTGACTGATAGATCATGGATCCTCTCTAAGTAACTATCCAAACTGGCATCCACGTCACTGCTATGAGCTCACTCCACACCCCACCTGTCTGCATTGGAGTACCCCAGGTGGAAGTACAGCTGACAATGACACTCTTCCAGCCTCTCCACTCAAGGCCTCCTCTGTCACGATTTCTCTCACATGTCCATACAAAGGTTGGGGACAATGATAAATGGATGCCTTCACAGGAAGCTGAAGAATGCCACTGTAGACAGAGCTGAACTTGATGACGTGTTAGAAGGAGTCATCAAACTCCTTCTAACTTGATGACGTGTTAGAAGGAGTCTAGGGTATTTTTCATTTTGAAGGTGGTAAACTTTTGCATCCAGCAGCATTTTAGTACTTTTTCATTTGTACCCACATCAACAAGATATATGTCTTGATTTATTTAGAATTCTAAAGGTTTACATGGTTGAGTTAGTTTTTAGAGATCCTTTCTTGGGAAAGATCAACTTATATTTGGGGTTTGCTTGCTCCATTAAAAAAAACATCAAAAGCTTGCTGTCACTTGTACTTCTCCTACTAAACCTTATTTCTCTCTTTCCTCCTACAACTACTGATAAAATTTAAAAGCACAAAAATTTAGAAATACAGCTTTATTTCAGTTTCATGACTCAATTTCATCCAAAGTCTTTAAATGCATCTTTGACGTCAATGTCTTCATCATCGCTAAAGGTTCTGAGTCAAAGGTTCTGAGTCAGCACACAGTTCTCCACAGGACATCATCTTTACTTCTATATCAATTATTTAGAAATAATTTCTCTGTATGCCCTCAATGGAAAGACAATGTGGTATACTACTTGGTGGTAAAAAGAATGAAATCCTGGCATTTGAAGCAACATGGATGGAACTGAAGATTATATGTTAACTGAAATAAGCCAGACACAGACAAATATCACATATTCTCAGTCATAGGTGGGAGCTAAAAATGTTGATCCCATACAGGTAGAGAGTAGAATGATGGTCACCCAGAGGCTGAGAAGGGTGTGTGAGGGTGGGGAAGGATGAAGAGAGGTTGGTTAATGGGTACAAACACAGAGTTAGATGGGAGGAACAAGTTCCAATGTTCAACAGCAGAGCAGGGGGGTGACTATAGTTAACAATAATGTATTGTATATTTCAAAATAGAAAAGAGAACTTGAAATGTTCCCAACACACAGCAATGATAAATATTCAAGGTGACGGATACCCTAAATACCGAGTTGTTTTTTTTTTAACTTTTAAGTTCATGAGTACACGTGCAGGATGTGTGGGTTTGTCATACAGGTAAACATGTTTCATGGGGGTTTGTTGTACAGATGATTTCATCACCCAGGTATTAAGCTTGGTATCCATTAGTTATTTTTCCTGATCCTCTCCTTCCTCCCACCCTCCACTCTCCAACAGACACTGGTGTGTGTTGTTTCCCTCTATGTGTCCATGTGTTCTCAGCATTCAGCTCCCAGTTATAAGTGAGAACATGAGGAAATACCCTGACTTGATCACCGCACATTCTATGCACTTAGCAAAATATCACATGTATTCCATAAAAATGTACAAATATTATGTATCAATAAGAATTGTTAAAAATTAAATTTAATGTTTTCTGCACACATAATAAGCTTGATAAAATGAGAATATGGGGAAACCTGCACCCAACAATTTGAGGAATTTTTTAAGCACAATTTTTTAGGAAAATTGTTTAGATGCTAGGCCCTAAAAGAAATCTCAACTCTACCAAAGAATCATTATCATACAGAATATCATCTCTCACCAAAATTCAATAATTAACACAAAGCATCAAAGAATACAAAAAAGTCTCATGTGTTTAGAAATTTTAGAAATTGCCTTAACTTTACAATTGGATCCATGCATATTAGAAAAAAAGAATTTTAAAAAAAGAATTAACTGAATAACCATGTTAAGAAATAAGAAATTAGTAACATGGTTTGATCCTTACATGTTTTCTCTTGTCTAAATATTATCTGTAAGTTGACAATTCCCAAATTTGTATTTCCAAACCACACATATCCCTGAAAGTGCACTTGATGTGTTAGAAGCAGTCTATAATGCTTTTCATTTTGAAGATGGTAAACTTTTGGATCCAGCAGTACTTTAGTACTTTTTCATTTGTAACTTTCTCCAGTATACCCACATCAATAAGACATGTGGCTTGATGTATTTAGAATCCTAAAGGTTTACATGGTCAAGTTACACACCCCCACTCCAGACATACAAACTCCCTATCTGACACCTCCATTTGGATGTCAAAAAGGACTCAACACATCCAAAATGGAGCTCTTACCCTACCCAAGCTTGTTCTACCTATAGTAATCCTCATCACCATCCTTCCAGCTGTGCAGGCCAAACTGACCTCTCCTTCTCACTCTCCAGTATTTGTCAGCAAATACTGTTGCCCTAAGTACATCCAATGTTCGTGTATCTTATCACCTCTTATTACCTCTACTGTTATCCACCTCGTCCACCCAAGTCTTCCTCTCACCTTTTTCAAAAGCTGACTCCTTCCTTCCATCCTGACTCTGCTTTAGTCTATTCTCTACAGCGGCCAGAAAGAACATCCTTTTAAAATGGAAGTCAGATCAGTCAAAGCAATCCAAACACATCCTCTTGTCACTTAGTCCTTACAATGGCATATAAGACCCTCTACCATCTAGCCCTCATAATATCTTTGATTTCATTTCCCTCTTGCTAATTTAACTCCCCCTCTACCAGCTTTTTGATGTTCCTTAAACATGCTAGGTATGCTTTGGCTGCAGGGCCTTTGCCCAGCCTGTTCCTTTGGCAAGGAATGCTCTTCCTCCAGATACCCAAAAGGGTAACTCCATCACCTCCTTCAAGCTGATGTTCAAATGTCACTTTTCATTAAGGCCTAAAGCAATTATTAAAAATGGCAACCCACTAGACCTCCAATACTGCCCATCCCTCTTTCCCTATTTTGCTGTTCTATATAGCACTTATTACCTTCTAATATATAATTTATTTATTTATTAAGATTTTTGCCTGTTTCCCACCACTAAAAAACAAGCTTCATGAGAGCAAAGATTGTTTTGTCTGTTTTTCTTTAAGTGAGGCCTGGAACATATTAAGTGCCCAATAAATATTTGCTGAATGACTGATAAACAGAGAAAATCTGAAGATAACGAAAGGAATAATAAGACAAAAGCAGGAATCAGTAATTATCTGTTTCATTTCATGATAATTACTAACAATTTTGACATATAAAGGAAAGGGCTGTTAAATATGATCCATTCTGAATGTCAAATATGCTAGGTATACCACTGGCCTTCCAATTTATAAATATGGTATACCTCTTCATTTATTTAGGGCTTTTAACATTTCTTTTTTGTTTGTTTTTTTTTTTTTGAGATGGAGTTTCGCTCTTTGTTTTTTATTTTTTTGAGATGGAGTTTCGCTCTTGTTGCCCACACTGGAGTGCAACGTCATGATCTTGGCTCACCACAACCTCCGCCTCCCGGGTTCAAGCGATACTCCCACCTCAGCCTGCCGAGAAACTGGGATTACAGGTGTGCACCACCACGCCGGGCTAATTTTTTATTTTTAGTAGAGACAGGGTTTCTCCATGTTGGTCAGGCTGGTCTCAAACTCCCAACTTCGGGTGATCCACCCACCTCAGCCTCCCAAAGTGCTGGGATTATAGGCGTGAGCCACTGCACCCGGCCCTAAAATTTCTTTCAGCAATACTTTGTAGTATTTAGTTTACACATCTTGCACATATTTCATTATATGTATTCCTACGTTATGTTTCTCAATGCTATTATAAATGGTATTGCTTTTTAAAATTTCATTTCCTAATTGCTGCTAATATACAGAAATGCCACTGATTTTTTTAAAGTGATCTATGTCCTGCAATACTGCTAACTTTGTTAGTTCTAGTACTTTGCTTTGTAGATTCCTTAGCATTTTCTATGTACACAATCACGTCATCTATGAATAAAGAAAATTTTAATATTTCCTTTTCGATCTGAATGCCTTTAATTTCTTTTTCTCGTATTACTGCACTAGCTAGGATCACTAGTAAAATGCTGAATAGATGCACTAAGAGTGACATTCTTGCATTGTTCCCAATATTAAGGTAAAATGTTCAGTCTTTTAACATTAAGTATGATGGTAGCTAGGTAGGTTTTTCATAGATGTGCATTTTCAGATTGAGAAGGTACCCTCTATTCCTAACTTTCTGAGAGTTTTTAAAAATGTGAATTGAGGGTTGAATTTTGTCAAATGCCTAAGATCATTTTCCTTCTCCTCGAAACATACCCTTTACAAATTCCTTTAGCGAGGTTCCTTTAGTAGTGAGCATTTTTATTCATCTGCAAATGTTTTTGTCTTTGCCTTTCTTGACAGGTATTTTCTCACTGGGTATACAATTTTAGGATTATTATTTTCCTCTCAGTTCTTGGAAGATCGTATTCCACTCTCCTTTGGTTTCTAATGTTGCTCTTCAGAAGTCAGCTCTCTGTGAAATTGTCAATTCTTTGTAAATAATCTTCTATTTGTTTTTAGTATCTTTTCTTTGTCTCTGGGGTCCTCTAGCTTTACTATGATGTGTGTAGGTATGAATTTTCTTTTAGATTCTTTTTTTTTTTTTTTTTTTTTGAGACAGAGTGTTGCTCTGTCGCCTAGGCTGGAGTGCAGTGGTGCGATCTCAGCTCAATTGCAACCTCCATCTCTTGGGTTCAAGTGATTCTTGTGCTTCAGTCTCCCAAGTAGCTGGGACTACAGGCACGCATCACCACACCTGGCTAATTTTTGTATTTTTAGTAGAGATGGGGCTTCACCATGTTGGCCAGCCTGGTCTCGAACGCCTGACCTCAAGTGATCTGCCCACCTTGACCTCTCAAAGTGCTGGGATTACAGGCATGAGCCACCATGCCCGGCCTAGATTCTTAATTAAGATTTGTTGACCACTGCTATGAACTTGGGACAATTTCCATTCATTATCTTTTGGCCTTACCAAGAATTTTTTTTATTTTGTCCTTCTGGAATTCCAATTATCTGTAGGTTTATAATCTCTAAATCTAATCTGATATTTACCTTATCTAATTGAGGTTTCTATTTTTTTTTTAATTCCTAGTTTTATTTGATTCCTTTTCAGATTTTCTGGTAATTTTTATATTCTTTTGTTTCTCCATACTTTATACTTTTAACATACTCCTTTTTTAAAAAAATATTTACTTTATATGCTGTATTTGATAGTTCACACTCTTTGTAGGACTTTAATGTATTGTTCCTGTTAATTCTTACACAGGCCAGCTTATTTTTTTCTTACGTGAGTTCAAGTTCCTTGGAACTTATCTGTGGAGATTACTCAAGGCTGAGGTTTTTAAGTGCCTTTCTTCTTCTTTTTTTTTTTTGAGATGGAGTCTCGCTCTATTGCCCAGAATGGAGTACAGTGATGCGATCTCGGCTCACTGCAACCTCCACCTCCCAGATTCAAGCAATTCTCCTGCCTCAGCCTCCCATGTAGCTGGGATTACAGGCACCCGCCACCACACCCAGCTAATTTTTGTATTTTTAGTAAAGACAGGGTTTCACCATGTTGGCCAGGCTGGTCTCGAACTCCTGACCTCAAGTGATCTGCCTGCCTTGGCCTCCCAAAGTGCTGGGATTACAGGCGTGAGCCACCACGCCCAGCTTAAGTGCCTTTCTACAAAGAGAATTTATGTTTGCTTCTGACAGGTTTCTGGGAGCACCACCCAAATAGAGAAGCTTTAAATTTAATTAAATTCCTGAGTTGGGATTTGGGGGCTAAAAATATGGTATAAATTCTGGTTTCAAACCCATGTGAAAGTGGGCCTGTGGTTAGGAATTTCTCTTTTAGGCCTTTGTTCTTTGTAATTATAAATTATAACATGCTTCTACGCTGATTTTCTCAAAGGGGCAGGAATAAAATGTTTATGTTTCCTACCTGACAACTTGGTAAATGTGAGAGGGAATTTGAGGTGATCAGCTTATAAATTAGAGTGCCCACACAACCAGATGAACAATACATATTAATGTCCTAAACCTATATGGAAACACAAAAGATTTTCTTAAAAGGTATTCTTTTGTTCAGCATCGTACCATTTATTTGTATTTATTCACTTCATTTATGTGAGAAATGCATAGATTATGTCAATATAAATCAGTTTCATACCCTAAATTCACGTTGGTTCAAATTTAAGGTTACTTTTTTTTTGAGATGGAGTTTCGTTCTTGCTGGCCAGGCTGGAGTGCAATGCGCGATCTTGACTCACTGCAACCTCCACCTCCTGGGTTAAAACGATACTCCTATATCAGCCTCCCAAGTAGCTGGGATTACAGGCGCCTACCACCATGCCCAGCTAATTTTTCTATTTTTAGTAGAGATGGGGTTTCATCATATTGGTCAGGCTGGTCTCGAACTCCTGACCTCAGGTGATCCACCTGCCTCGGCCTCCCAAAGTGCTGGGATTAGAGGCGTGAGCCACCGCGCCCAATCGGGTTACTTTTTTAATGCTTCCATATGGAACTGATACTTCATACAGTATCAGTTTTAGATTTTAAGCTTTCAATAGGGCTGAGCTCACTCAGATAACATCAGTAGCAGTTTAATCAATTTCTCAAAATGAAGACTTTAAAAATTCATCTCAATAAACTCTATGGAGAAGCTCTTCACAAGAATGTTTTCCTTGTGATAAACTGGACACAGGAAATGAGTGAAAAATAACAGCTGGATTTATATAGAATTAAACATGAGGTGGTCACAGCTTAGAAGAAATAACTAAAGGGAAAAAAGAAGTCCCTTAAATTCCAAAACAATTCTATTTAAAAAAGTGAAAAACCAAGGATGTAGATTATTCAATACAATTTAACTGAACATTTCTTTAAATTCATGCTTGGAGCCAAAGTCTCCAGTTTTACCCTTAGGATTATTCCATTAACATGATCCAAAGGGGAAAAAGCGAGACAAAAGAAAAGGGCCACTTTACACCAAAGGAGATGCCTTATTCCAACCTTATCTTGACTTCCAGGATTATTTCTGGTAGTAAAAGACAAACTTCTCTCCAAAAACTCATAAAAAATACAGATTTTTACAGTTTGAGTAACTACTCTTTGGTTGCCTTCCAAAGCGTCAGTAGGACCAGCAAAAGCATACCAAATCAACAAGCAAGGTCCTATAATGTGACCTTGAACAGAGGGACTACAAGAAAGTTGCTGAATTTAACCTAATTCAACTAGAATTTACAATTGTGCTCCATCCTCTAGAAACACAAATCAGTATAAAGTTCAGTCCCACAAACACATGGAATCTGCCAGGCACTAAAGATGTACAATCCCAGCCCTTAAAAAGTTGAAGGTGCAAAGAAAGTGCTTACAATCTTCAAGAAGTCCTGGTTTAATACATACTCAAGAAATCCTTAAGGAAAGAGATAGCATTTTATTGGATGATCAAATGACTGATAAAACAATAAGAGCTCAAGGAATTTAGGAATGCAAAGAAGAGATCCATATGAGTTAGCTACTTGGAGGGTTTAAGGAAGGTTGCATGGACATACCAGGATTTAAACTGGACTCCAGGATATAGAAAACCTGTAAATCTGAAAGAGACAAGTAGGACATTCAGGAAAGCAGGTAGCCGGGCTGGGACATCATGAGCTAGCTTGGTGGAAAGGGCAATAAAGTTTTAAAGGGTAGGAAGGCAGCAGGTCTGGCAGAGCAGAGGCTTTGTCCTCCATAAATTAGTAGTAGAAGATAAGATTCCAAAAGTAAGGTGGGTCCCGATTACACAGGCCTTGAATTCCAGCACGAGGAGTGCCTCCTTCATTCTACAGGCAGTGAGGTTTTGTAGATTTTTAAATAGGGAAGTAATATGACAAAGGCAGTGACTCAAGAAGATTAATTTGTTAGAAATATGTAGACAGATCAGAGTTTTGAGAAGAATGAAAGAGAGCTAACACAGCAGGTTCTAAACTCAGGCACCAGTCAAAAGTGGGCAATGTGAAGACTTGCAAAGGTGCGGAGAAATATTCAAATTATTCTAAATTGCAGTCAGTATACAAATCCTATTAAGAAATTCCATTCAAATGAAATACAATCCTGAGGCTCAATGTCTGCATGAAATTATATTACAGGTATAACTTAGGTTTAGATAGGGAAGAAATAAATGTCAAAGAGAAGCAAATTTCTCCAATACTATGAATGATTACTTTTTAAGGATTTTTAAAACAATCATAATGAACTAGAGAACCATTGCTTTCAACTTCAATTTTTGAATTATTGGTCTAGCACTGTAAAAACACAGGAAATAGGTCGGGCTTGGTGGCTCACGCCTGTAATCCTAGCACTTTGGGAGGCCGAGGCAGGCGATCACTTGGGGTCGGCAGTTTGAAACTAGCCGGCCAACATGGTGAAACCCCGTCTCTACTAAAAATACAAAAAAATTAGCTGGGCATGGCTGCGGGTGTCCGTAGTCCTAGCTACTTGGAAGGCTGAGGCAGGAGAACTGCTTGAACCCAGGAGGTGGAGGTTGCAGTAACCCGAGATCACACCACTGCACTTCATCCAGCCTGGGTGACAGAGCAAAACTCCATCTCAAAGAAAAAACAAAACAAAACAACCAAAAAAAAAAAAAAAACCCCACAAGAAATAAAGCCTGCCTCATTCTGACACACTGATATCATTTAATAACCTGAATGCCTCATGAATATCACTACTATTAGTAAGTCATGAACACATATAGATACACATGCAGTTATGCATTCTGTAAGTATTTAAGATCTACTATCTGCCAGACCCACGCCAGATAGGGAGATAGAGCAGGAAGTAAAATAAAGTCCTTGTCTCTGGCAGTAAAATGAGTTTGGTGGGGAAAAAAAAAAAAAAAGCCTTGCTTTCAAAGAACTTACAGTCTAATAGGGTAGAGATTATAAACAAATACAAAAATGAATTTTTAAAATGTCATATAATGGCAAGTGTCATGCAGAAACTGAAACAAGGTAAGAGGAAACAGAGTGACTGATGGTGCTATTTTAGATAAAAAAGTTACAGAAAGTATCTCTGAGAAGCTAACATTTAAGGAGAGATCTGAATAACATAAACAAATAAGCCATGTGAGTATGAGGATGAGGGGCACATCAGGCAAAGGAACCAGTAGTTGCAAAGGCCCTGAGGTGGACGCACACTTGGTATTTGCAAGGAACAAAACCAGAATAACAAAGGAGGATAGAGCAATGGGAAAGTGGCAGGAAATAAAGTTAGAGAGGTTGCCAGGAACCAGATTTTATGGGGCCTTGTAGACCATTGTATAGACTTCGGCTTTTAAGTGTAAGGGGAAGTCACTGAAGGGATAAAAGCCCCCCCACCCCCCACAAAAACAAAAAAAGACATGTGCTGGGTTATGTCATAGGACAAATATATTGTAGTGCTAAACGAATTTACTAGATCTGAATTTTCATCTCTGAATTTTCTTTGCATACATCTAACACCCTTTTAGGAACAGATGATTTGTATTGTAAGTTCACATAAAAAGAAACATCTTTGAAAAAAATCTTTTTTTTTTTTTTTTTTTTTGGTGGGGACAGAGTCTTGCTCTGTCACCCACGCTGGAGTGCAGTGGCTCTCGGCTACTGAAACCTCCACCTCCCGAATTCAAGCGATTCTTGTGCCTCAGCCTCCTGAGTAGCTGGGATTGCAGGCCCCACCTCCACGCCTGGCTAATTTTTGTATTTTTAGTAGAGATGAGGTTTCACCGTGTTGGCCAGGCTGGTCTCCAACTCCTGACCTAAACTGATCCGCCTGCCTTGGCCTCCCAAAGTGCTGGGATTACAGGCGTGAGTCACCGCGCCCAGCTGAAAAATCTTAAAAGGATTTTTCATTGACATTATTATCATTAAGCAGGATATAAAAGTGGGTTGAATCAAAGGGAATATATCCACAGTTGTGGCTACTGCTAAGGATTTGTTATACATAGAAGATGACTGTGCCCTATACAGGACTCAATGCAAACACAGAAGGCAAGAAAAACAAAAAGCAGAACAAACACACCGAAAAAAAACAAGGGAGAAGAAAGGTAGAGTATGAGAAGGAAGAAGAGGAGAATTGCTCAACAGATTTAATAGAATCCCTATCAAAATCTTTTGTTAAAATTGACAGGTATAGACTAAAATGTGTGTGGAAATGCAAAGGATTAAAATACCCAAAACAATTTTGAAAAAGAAGAGAACTTACACTACCCAATTTCAAAACTTACTGTTAAGTTATAGTAACCAAGATCATATGGTACAGCTATAAGGACAGATACACACATAGGTCAATGGGACAGAATTGAGAAATAAACTCATATTTATAGTCGGTTGATTTTGACAAAGATGGCAAGACAACTCAATGGTGCAAGGAATGGTCTTTTCAACAACTGGTGCTTAGACAAGTGGATATCCATGCATTTATTTATTTATTTATTTATTTATTTATTTAAGACTGAGTCTTGTTCTTCTTGCTCAGGCTAGAGTGCAATGGCGCAATCTCGGCTCACTACAACCTCCCGAGCAATTCTCCTGCCTAAGCCTCCTGAGTAGCTGGGATTACAGGAGCCCGCCACCATGCCCGGCTAATTTTTTGTATTTTTAGTAGAGATGGGGTTTCACCATGTTGGCCAGGCTGGTCTCGAACTCCTGACCTCAGCTGATCCACCTGCCTCGGCCTCCCAAAGTGCTGGGATTACAGGCATGAGCCACTGCGCCTGGCTGCTTCATTTCTAAGATGTTAACAACAGGGGAAACTAAGTGCAGGGTGTACAGAAACTCTGTCCTATTTATGAAACTTCTGTAAATCTAAAACTAAAATAAAAAGTTTATGTAAATATTTTTAAGTAGGCAAAATATCTAAATAGACAATTGTACCAAAGAAGATATGTGGATGGTTAATATGTACATGATAAGGTACTCAATATCATTAGTCATTAGGGAAATACGAATTAAAACTACAGTAAGATCCTACCACTCACTAACTAGGATGGCTATAGTCCAAAGAATGACAATATACCAAGTGCTGATGAGAATGTGGAGAGACTGGAACTCTTAAGTATTGCTGGTGGGACTGTAAAATAGTCCTGTCACTTTCTTTCTTTCTTTGTTGAGACAGGGTTTCACTCTGTCATCCAGGCTGGAGTGCAGTGGTATAATCCTGGCTCACTGCAGCCTCAACCTCCCAGGCTCAAGTCATCCTTCTACCTCAGCCACCTGAGTAGCTGGGACCACAGGCATGCATCACCCCACCCCGCTAATTTTTTTGTATCTTTTTTAAGTAGAGACGGGGTTTTGCCATGTTGCCCATGTTGGTCTCGAACTCCTGGCCTCAAGCAATCCTCCCACCCCAGACTCCCAAAGTGCTGGGATTACAGGTGTGAGCCACCGTGCCCGGCCTCCCATCACTTTAGAAAACAGTTTGGCAGTTTCTTAAAATATTCAACATACCCTTGGCTGGGCATGGTGGCTCACGCCTGTAATCCCAGCACTTTGGGAGGCTGAGGCAAGCAGATCACCTGAGGTCAGGAGTTCGAGACCAGCCTGGCCAACATGGTGAAACCCCGTCTCTACTAAAAATACAAAAATTAGCTGGGCGTGGTGGTGGGCGCCTGTAATCCCAGCTATCTGGTAGGCTGAGGAAGGAGAATCACTTGAACCCAGGAGACAGAAGTTACAATGAGCCAAAGACCGTGCCATTGCACTCCAGCCTGGGCAACAACAGCAAAACCCTGTATCCAAAAAAAAAATAAAAAAGTTAAATATATGCTTGCACTGCATGACTCAGCAGTTCTACTCCCAGATATGTACTAAAGACAAATGAAAACATATGTCTACAGAAAGACATGAATGTTCATAGCAGCGTTATTCATAAGAGTCAAAAACTAAAAATGAGACCAATGTTCATCAACTGGTGAATGGATAACAAAATGTGATCTATTCATGCAAAGGATATTTTCAACATTAAAAAGAATGACCTATTTATTCTTGAAACAAATGGATAAACCCCAAAAATATTATGCTAAATGAAATAAGTCAGAAACAAAAGACTACATATTGTACGATTCTGTTTATGTGTAATTTCTAGAAAAAGCAGGAAGTAGTTTGGTGATTGCCTTAGGGCTGGAAGTGGGAGCTGGGATTGACTACAAATGGATAGGAGGGAACTTTTTGGATGATGGAAATATTCTTAAACAGGATGGTGGCAATGGTTGCAAAATTGTATAAATTAACTGAAAATAATTTAACTGTCACAGTGGGTGAAATTTACAGAACATAAATTACACCTCAAAAAAAAAGACAAATCAAAATCACAATGAGATATTACTCCATACCCATTACGATGGCTACTATAAAAACAAATCAACATAGAATAACAAGTGTTGGCAAGGATGTGCAAAGTTGGAACTCTTTTGCAGTACTAGTGAGATTATAAAATGGTGCAATCTCTGTAAAAAACAATATGAGGGTTCCTCGAATCCTCAAACAATTAAAAATTGAACATATGATCCAGCAATCCCACTACCAGGAATACATACAAAAGAACTGAAAGCAGGGTTTCCAAGAGATCCATGTTCATAACAGCACTATTCACAATAGCCCAGAGGTGAAAGCCACCCAAAATAATATTCCATTGTATGTAGGTACCACATCTTACCAACGGTGGATGAATGGATGAGCAAAATATGGTATCTACATACAATGAATATCATTCAGCCTTAGAAAGGAAGGAAATCCTGTCACACGCTGCAACACAGATACTGCAACACAGAACCTTGAGGGCATTATACTAAGTGAAATAAGCCAGTCACAAAAAGACAAATACCATATGATTCCACTCACATGAGGTATGTAAAGCAGTCAAATTAATAGAAACATAAAGTAGAACGGTGGTCACAGGGGGTGGAGGGAAAGGGCATTGCTGTTTAACGGGTATGGAAAAAGTTCTGAAGATCTGTTTAACAACAACACGATTACACTTGCCATTACTGAACTGTACGCTTAAAAACCGTACACTTAAAAGAATTAAGATAGTTAATTTTATATTATTTTTTTATCCACAATAAAAAAAAAGAATACTAAGGGATGATGATTTGTGAAGTTTTGTGAGATTTTGAGTTTAAAAGCAGAGAGCTTTATAGTAGGATAATGGCAAACAGGGTGAGAAAATCTCAAGGGCAGAGTGAAACTCAGCAGAACAAAGTCATAGCCACTTGTAAATAATCACCCTCCTTGGACTAAAGCTTGATGGTTCTGAGTTTTGTTGTATTACATAATGCTGTTTCTCCTCACTGCACCATACTCATCACATTTACTGTTCACATAAGCATCCCTCTGTCTCTCACACACACACACAGAGGTACCACACATATATATGCACATGTGTGAGTTTGTGAGTGCAAGTTCCCGTCTCCCTCACCCCAACACACACACACTCACACTCACGTACACACACACATGCACACACACATACATACTGAGGTTCAGGCAAAAACGTTATCCTATTTCTAGGACTGTCTTAGATGATGCATAGCCCTCTTTGCTCTTTCTTTCCTTTTTGGAGAGGTATAATTCCAGGGCTAGTAAGCAACCTTAAGCTCAGAAGAATGATTCTGGGACTTTCAGCCTGAAACGGAGCAAAACAGGTAACATTCATACCAGGACATAGTGAAGCTCAAGGCCCTAAGACAACCCTGTATTCCTCACCTTCTAGGTTTTCAAATTCATCCCAGCAAAATGCAAGCCAGAAAGAGTATCAGATGAGCTGTGACCTAATGGCCTTCACATTCTAGGCTATATATACAGGAGAACAAAAAGCAACTCTTCTTTTACCAAAAAGACAAATTGAATAGACCCCAAGGTGCCTAATGGCCCACTGGTAAGCAAAATCATGTCACCAACGGTAAGTTTTTCAAAATCATTACAGCAGGCCAGGCACAGTGGCTCATGTCTATAATCCAGTGCTATGGGAGGCTGAGGTGTGAGGACTTCTTGAGGCCAGGAGTTCAAGACTAGCGTGGGCAACATAGCAAGACCCCATCACTTCAAAAAAATATAAAAATTAGCCAGGCGTGGTGACATGTGCCTGTAGTCCTAGCTACTTGGGAGGCTGAGACAGGAGGATCTCTTGAGCCCAGGAGTTTTGAGGTTACAATGAGCTGTGATCATGTCACTGAACTTTAGCCTCGGTGACAGATCAAGACCCTGTTTCTACTTTTTTTTTTTTTTTTTTTTACTTTTGTTTTCTCACTCTGTCTTATGGTGCTGACCCTGTCTCTAAAAAACAAATAACCCAAAAAATCATTACAGCAAAATGCAAGACAATTAATATCAGATGAGCTATGATCTAGGAATCAAAGTACAAGTTGAGAATCCCTTATCCAAAATGCTTGGGACCAGAGTGTTTCATATTTTGGATTTTGGAATATTTGCATTCTATTTACCCTGGTTGACCATGCGAATTCCAAAAATCTACAGTCTGAGATGCACCAGTGAGCATTTCCTTGGACTGTCACGTCGGCACTCAAAAAGTTTCGGATTTTGGAGCATTCCAGATTTTGAATTTTCAGATTTGAGATGCTCAACCTGCATATTTACCTGTCAGAAATGGTTCAAGATTACAATCTTCCAAACAGGTTCAGTCTCAGGAGATCAAGATACCTAGAATGAATCTGATACTCCTTTCAAGCAATTGGAACATCAGATTCACCTAGAGGTCTAAGAAAAAAGTATCATCTTGTCAGTTTCCTCAAATAAGACTCTAGTCTCCCATCAAAAGAAGAAAGCCCAACTCACAATACACACTCAATAAATACTGTGGAAGACAGTGTTTCAACCCAGACTAACTTATCAATATTATGAATTCTGTAACACCCGATAATTGGAGAATACAATAAAACCAATTAATAACTCTCTTCAGAAAAAAAAAATTGGCTTATTAAAGTTGTAGGCTAGGGGCAGTGGCTCTCGCCTGTAATCCCAGCACTTTGGGAGACCGAGGCGGGTGGATGACGAGGTCAGGAGTTTGAGACCAGCCCGGACAACATGGTGAAACCCCGTCTCTACTAAACATACAAAAATTAGCCAGGCGTGGTGTGTGACCCAGCTACTTGGGTGACTGAGGCAGGAGAACTGTTTGAATCCGGGAGGTGGAAGTTGCAGTGAGCCGAGATTCTGCCACCGTACTCCAGCCTGGGCGACAGAGCAAGACTCCGTCTCAAACAAACAAACAAACAAAACAATTAAAAATGGCTGTAAACAGCAAGGCAATTCACCATAAGTGCCCTTGTCACAAAAGCCATTTTTAACTCCAGACTCATCCATCATTTTAAAAGAAGTGTCACAAAAATGTGCTTTAATAATTAAACAACATAAACAAGAAGTTAGACTTGTTCTTTCACAGGGTTACAAATGGTCTTATATTATTCCTGGTCTGGTGAATTCTGCTGATATATTTAAAGTTGTTATGAATAAGTAGAAAACAAGCATATTTGTGTTTTACCAAAAAGTTCATAAGCACTGATAGCACCGATACTTAAAGCATAATTGTCTAAAGTTCAAAAAGAAGATTTATGAGGTATAGGAAAAAAACAACAAAGAGAACAGATTTTTTAAGTTCATATCAAAGTAATGTATACACAGAGTCTAAGTCAGTATTAAACAGAAGAGCAGTTAAAATAGAACAAATTAGAGCCACATTAAAGTATTACTGTAATTACAGTTTTATAATTACAGTATAATTTAAATAACAGTATAACAGTATTTTTTAATTATCTAGGTTAATTCTGTTTTGATGCAATGTGCGGAGAAAATTGGTTGGCTTAGCTGTTCAAACATGCTATATATTTATGTATGCAAAGGATGCAAGAAACAAATAAAAGACTTTCTGTCAGTAAGAGGCAGTCTGGTTTCTAGGTAACAAATTTTATCTGAGTCCTTCAGCAAAAGGTGTTATCTTCACCGCTGCGTGAAAAAACAACTTGGGCCATCAAACCAAAGATGATGATCATTCAGAAAAAAGAGTCTAAAGAAGCACAAAGTGCCCTAAATTTGCAGTTTTTAGACACCCTTCTTTGAGAGCAGGGGTTGGCAAACTTTTTCAGGGCCAGATAGTAAATAATATAAGCTCTAAGGGCCATTTGGTCTCAGTCGTTAATGACTCAATTCTGCCACTGGAGCTCGAAAGCATCCATAAACAACATAAAAATGAGTGAGTATGGCTGTGTCCCAATAATTTTTTTTTTTTTTTTTTTTAAGACAGAGTCTTGCTATGTCACCCAGGATGGAAAGGCACAATCTCGGCTCACTGCAACCTCTGCCTCCCAGGCTCAAGCAATCCTCGTGCCTCAGCCTCCTGAGTAGCTGAGATTACAGGTGCATGCAACTGTACCCGCCTAATTTTTATTTTTTTAGGAGAGACGGGGTTTCGCTATGTTGGCCATGGTGGTCTTGAACTCCTGTGATCCACTCCCAACTCAAGTGATCCACTCCCCTTGGCCTCCCAAAATGCTGGGTGAGCCACTGAGGCCAGTCCCAATAAAACTTTACTTACGGACACTGACGTGATTTTCATGTAAGTTTCACTTTACAAAATATTCTTATTTCTCTTCAAACATTTAAAAATGTAAAGGTCTTGTTAGATCATGAGGGACAGGTTGGCCTTAGCCTGCAGGCTATAGTTTGCCCACCCCTATTAAGATGAATCCCAGGTGTGTGCAGCGGAAGACACTGGGCTCTTTCTCGCTAGAATTCAGGGTAATAGACACACTAAGCCAACACGTGAAGTTTTGCTTCCCCTCAGAAATAAATCTACACAAACTGAAATGCAATGGTGACTAACCACTAATTAAAGAGATTAGGCTTAAGAACTCTGTGGTTAGAAAATTAGCAAGAGCAAATTGCTTGAATTCGGATCACAGGAAGCCTGTTAGAGGCATCCAGAGGTAGACGTGGTATAAATATGTTTTTGCCAAAAGAAGCAACTCATTTCTCTCAGAGACCTGGAAGTAAGAGAAGTTGCTAGAGTGCTGATACGTGAATTGGCTTTGTTTTGAATACACGTCTTGCAATTTATTTGAAAAACCTTGTTTACTCAATATTCTCACCACCCCCCAGAAAGGAACACAAAGAAATATGCCTGACATCTAGTGGTGGCTTTGGGAAACTGTAGGTACATGACTTGTATTACTTTCTGAAAGAAAACCAAAACCAAAACAAAACGCAAAAACATAAATGGTGGGGAGGAGTCAGATGCCTGTGTATATAAATTGTGTTGGGTATAATTCATTCACTCAATACATTTTAGGTGCCTACCACGCACCAAGCAGTATTTCAGGTAATAGGAATTCGGCGGAGAACAAGATAAAGTCCAGCCTTTGTGGAGTTTACATTTTTGTGACATGATTAACTTTATTTGAAGGAAAAGACTTTAAAAGTTTATAGCCTTCTAGCCACTTAAAAGCACTTTCTCATACATTATCTTAAAAAAATCCTGAGACAATTAAGACAGGTTTTATTAACACCATTTTACAGAAAGGCAAACTGAGGTCTTTTTTTTTTTTTTTTTGAGATGGAGTCTTGCTCTGTCGCCCAGGATAGAGTGCAGTGGTGCAATCTCGGCTCGCTGCAACCTCTACCTCCTGGGTTCAAGCAATTCTCCTGCCTCAGCCTCCCAAGTAGCTGGGATTACAGGGGCCTACCACGACGCCCAGTTAATTTTTGTATTTTTAGTAGAGACGGGGTTTCACCATATTGGTTAAGTTAGTCTTGAACTCCTGACCTCAGGTGATCCACCCACCTTGGCCTCCCAAAGTGCTGGGATTACAGACATGAGCCACCGCACCAGGCCTGGAGTCCACACATTTTCTAAAGAGTCAGACTTCGATTTGTACTAATTTATTATTTTGCTGGCTACACACAAAAGGAAATATTGGTGAGCCTATCAGAAAAGTCTATCAACAGCATTAACCTTCAATTAAAAGGATCTCATGAACTAAATTCTGGTTAGCCTACTGCAACTATATAAAACTGGCTTCTTCACTCTCACTCAAACCTATTTGCAAACACTCAAACCTATTTGCAAATGCACAAAGTACTATGTGAACACTGTTAGCACCTTGCAGAGTAGCTAGAAGGTCCTCAATAAGTATTTGCTGAATTAATGAATAATTAAGAATCTTAGCAAGCGTTAAGAATTGCTATTCATGGCTGGGTGCAGTGGCTCACGCCTGTTATCTCAGCACTTTGGGTGGCCAAGGCAGGCAGATTGCTTGAGGTCAGGAGTTCGAGACCAGCTAGGCCAACACGGCGAAACCCCATCTCTACAAAAAATACAAAAAGTTAGCCAGGCATGGTGGCACGCACTTGTAGTCCTAGCTACTCAGGAGGCTGAGGCATGAGAATTGCATGAGCCTGGGAAGCGGAGGTTGCAGTGAGCTGAGATCACACCAGTGCACTCCAGCCTGGGCGACAGAGCAAGACTCTGTCTCCAAAAAAAAAAAAAAAAAGAACTGCTACTCATATGTTTGTATTTGTACTCTGCATTGCACTCTGAACATTTCTTAATACTTAGTGTTGAATTTTTAGTTTGCTTTCATATAACTAAAACTCTTTATGTCCTCCTAATGCAGTGGTTCTGTAAACTGATCAGATGTATTAGGGAACTTTTTCAAAAGGTGGATTCTTAGGCCACTTCCAGAATTATGGTTAAGTTGACCTAGAATGGAAGTAACTTGGTCATCTGTACTTTTTTTTTTTTTTTTTTTTTGAGACAGAGTTTCCCTCTTCTTGCCCAAGCTGGAGTGCAATGGCGTGATCTTGGCTCACCGCAACCTCCACCTCCCAGGTTCAAGCAATTCTCCTGCCTCAGCCTCCCGAGTAGCTGGGATTACAGGCATGCACCACCACACCCAGCTAATTTTGTATTTTTAGTAGAGATGAGGTTTCTCCATGTTGGCCAGGCTGGTCTTGAGCTCCGGACCTCAGGTGATCCGCCTGCCTCAGCCTCCCAAAGTGCTGGGATCACAGGCATGAGCCACCGTGCCCGGCCCTTCTGTACTTTTTAAGGCCTTCTGATTGATCTTGGTATCAGCCAAGTTTGGGAACCATTAACACGTATTGAATACAGAAAAAAAAATCTGTAAGACATAGAAACTCAAAGTTGAAAGGATCCTCAAAAGTTATCTAGTCAAACTAAATAGGATTAACTGCTCAACATCTCATCTAAATCTGAAAGAGAATCTACCAGAGCTTTTTTTTTTTTTTTTTTGGTGGGGGGGGTGGTCTGCTGACTATATTCTTGGCTTGGGAGTAATTCGGACTGATAAATAGTTAAACTATAAAATCTGAATTCTAGGTAGTATCTTGTAGAGTTGAAGACATTTGTAGAACAAGTTACTACAGCTGACCAGTATCTGGTTCTCCTCTCCTCCCTAGGTACACAGAAGGCTATTCAGGCTTGAAATTAGGTGGGGCTGTGAGGCAGGTGGTATGTGTCATTTCTGAACCAAAGCACAGAAGAATGGCTCTGAGCTGTCCCTACGCTTTCTTCCCCTGCTGCAGCAATGAGGAGGGCTCGTGTGAAGATGGTGGAGCCACAAGAGTAAAGCAGCCTACACCATCGAACCACTGCCCAGGTTGGCTGCTCCAGTCATTCCAGTCCACAACGGACTGGGTGTGAGTAACAAACAAACATTTATGAGCTGAACCACTGAGATCTGGTGGTTAATCTGCTACTATATTATTACTCGTGCTATCCTGAATATGTAATATTCATATCCCAGGACCCAGTAGTTAGCCTCCTACCTTACAGGATTTCTCCATACAAGAATGCTCAAAGCAGCACTGTAGGCTATAGTGAAAAATCGGAAATAATGTCCAGCAATGAAGAATGAATTACTCGTGGTAAAGTCATTCAATGGAATACCATTGGAGATTTTGGATAAATTTCAAAAACATATTACTTAATAAAGTAATAAACTTACAGAACGACATGTAGAGCATGACCATTTATATACAGTTTTAACATATCTGATTTTTATAGATGTATAAATATCTAATAAAAGTAGTTTAAAAAGTATAAAATCATGAATACCAAACAAATGATAGTGGCTACCCTTTGGGAAAAGGAAAGCGTGATTAGATGAGGAAGAGGGACACAGGAGACCACAGTTTTATCTACAATGTTTTATTCATTTTTTAAAAAAGATCCAAGCTGGGCGCAGTGGCTCACACCTGTAATCCTAGGAGGCTGAGGCAGGTGGATCACCTGAGGTCAGAAGTTCAAGACCAGCCTGGCCAACATTGTGAAACCCCACCTCTACCAAAAATATAAAATTAGCTGGGGGTGGTGGCACATGCCTGTAATCCCAGCTACTCGGGAGGCTGAGGCAGGAGAATCGCTTGAACCCAGGAGGTGGAAGTTGCAGTGAGCCAAGATCGCTCCATTGCACTCCAGCCTCGGCAACAAGAGCGAAATTCCGTCTCAAAAAAAAAAGAAAAAAAAATCCAAGGCAAATATATAGAATAAAATAAGAATTAATAAGGAAAAATCCAAGTTCTAATTCTTAGCTCTCAGTCCCAGCTGCATTTTTACTTAAATTTCTAACAGAAAACTCGATATGGGGAGGGCTTTTTAAATAGAAGAAACGTGAAGTCAGGTTCACCCAAAGACAGGGAAGTGGAGCCACAGAAAGGCCTGGAACCTCTGAAGGAGGGGTGAGAGGTTGCATTAAGATAAGAGGACTGGTTGAAAGAATGGATAAGAAGCAGCAAATTCCCACCCAATCCCCACCACCTCCAGCCACACTCCCAACACCACATTGCCAGATGACTACTCCTTTCTAGGCCCACCAGGAAACCAGAGGTTACTCTCAAGTCAAACTAAGCAGAAAGCCCCTGAGCTCAGGAGCCCCAGGTGGAGGCAGGGGTATGGAGCCTGAATGAAAACGAAGAGATTAAGTGAAATTCTATGCTAAAACTACTGGATTCTCCAACATACTTCTCCTGGTCAGGATTCACAGAACTTTTGACCCCAGAACTGTATCCTAGATATTAATACATAGAAACTCTCATGCAGCTCCATGGGGGAAACATGCCATACACTGTGGCATTATATGTGGAGGCAGAGGTCTAAAAGCAACCAACGTGTCCACCTCAGGGAGAACGGACAGGTAAAATGCTGTTCACAATAGCACTTATAAATATATATAAATATATATATATATATATATATATATATATATATTTTTTTTTTTTTAATTGAGACAGAGTTTCACCCTTGTCACCCAGGGTGGAGTGCAATGGCGCGATCTCAGCTCACTGCAACCTCTGCCTCTCAAGTTCAAGTGAGTCTTCTGCCTCAGCCTCCCGAGTAGCCGGGATTACAGGCACTGGCCGCCACGCCTGGCTAATTTTAGTATTTTCAGTAGAGACAGGATTTCACCATGTTGGTCAGGCTGGTCTCAAACTCCTGACCTCAGATGATCCACCCACCTTGGCCTCCCAAAGTGCTGGGATTACAGGTGTAAGCCACCATGCCCAGCCATAAATAAATATCTTAAAGGGACATACAGAACAATACTTTTTAAGAACGTATGCTAACAAAAACATACACGACGAGCACATTAGAATGGTTATCTATAGGGGAAAAGGTGACTCGAGTGGGACATTTCCATAAAGGGGAATTTTAAAAAATATGATAAATAGCACAAATAAAATGGTGGAAAAAGTCCACATATCATAGTAATGATGTTAATAACAAATGTCTTAACCAATTTTAAAAAACTGAAAAATACAGACCATTTTCCAGACTAAAAGTAAGTTATAAATTAATAACAAAAAGGCAACTAGAAAACCTCTATATGTTTGGAAATTAAGAAAGTATACTTCTCAAAGAAGAATCCTAACATAACTTGGGAAATATTTAGAAGTAAACAACAAAAAATATTATACAGTAAAACTTGGGTAATACCCAGATAGGGTTCAGATACATTTACAGCCTTAAATGCTTCTACTAGGGGGAAAAAATAAAAAAATTAAAAAACCTGAAATGAGTAAGCTAACCATGCCTTTAAAGAAATTAGAAAAGGAGTCTGGGCACGGTGGTTCACGCCTGTAATCCCAGCACTTTGGGAGGCCAAAAGGGGGTGGATCAAGAGGTCAAGAGATCAAGACTATTCTGGCCAACATGGTGAAACCCCGTCTCTACCAAAATTACAAAAATTAGCTGGGCGTGCTAGCGCATGCCTGTAGTCCCAGCTACTCAGGAGGCTGAGGCAGAAGAATCACTTGAACCCGGGAGGGGGAGGTTGCAGTGAGCTGAGATTGCCACTGCACTCCAGCCTGGCGACAGACTGAGACTCTGTCTCAAAAAAAAAAGAGAAAGAAAAAATGCCATAAATACACGAGAGTGGAAATAAAAAAGGCCCATTAGCACACATACTGTGGACTTACAAAGACAATAAAATATTATGAACGTTGTATCAATAACCTTTAAAATTGAGAGAAAATTAATAAATTCCTACCAATACAAAATACTCCAAGGTAACTTCAAAAATAAATAAACAATAAAAATAGTCTAATTGTTTTTTAAAAATGGAATTACCAGTTAAAAATCTTCCCACAAAGAAATCTTCAGGCTTAGATGGCTCCATTAGTGAGTTTCATAAAAAATTTACAAAGAAAATAACCCTTCCAAATCTTGAACAAGCTCTTCCAAAAATATGAAAAGAGAGAATGCTCCCCCATTTTGCAAGAATCACACACTGGGTGATAAAAACAACAAAATAAAAATAACCCCCAAATCTAGGGAAGTTACAGGCCAGTTTCACTCAAAAACATAGCCAAAATCTAAACAAAATATTAGCAAACAAAACCTAGCAGTGTATTCAAACAATGGCCAACTCAGATTTATTCTGGGAAGGTAAAGATGATGCTAAAAAACAATTAATGTAATTCACTACAATAACAGAATAAAGAAAAAGTCTTTGATCATCAATAGAGAAAATCATATAATCATCTCAATACAGAAAAACTCTTTGATAAAATTCAGCATCCATTCATGACAAAAAGAAAGCATTTTTATTTCTAGCAAACTAGAAATAAAAGGGAACCTCTTAAACCCGATAAATAGTTTCTACAAAACCTACATCAAATAACATACTAAATGAATGCTGAAAGCATTCTCTGTGGGATTAGTAATAACACAAAAATGCCTTCTAAACCACTTCTATTCAGTATTGCACCGGAGGGGCTAGCCAGCATAGTATGCTGCTAGCCCTGCAAAAAGTATGATTAATTTTCAAAAGTATAAGGTACAGAAGGGAAGACACAAAGCAGTCATTATTTGCCGATTATATAATTATTTATAGAAAATTCAAAAGAATCTGAGTATAAGGTACCAGAATTAACGAACAATTTAAGCAAGATAACTACATAGACAGTGGACTAAAATACAAAAACTATTTGCATTTCCATACACTAGTAACAAACTGTTAAGAAATATAATTCAGAAAATATTCCATTTGCATAACAGCATACGCTTACCAAAACACATCGAATTGTACACTTAAAGTAGGTGTATTTTATTGCATGTAAAGTATATCTTAAATAGCTGTAGGAAAAAGGACACTACTGATACTTTTTGTAACAGCAATTACAAATGTCAAGTGACATGAGAGTTAACCTAATATATAAAGACTTTCCTGGGGAACAATTATAAAACTTTACTTAAAGGTATAAAAAGATATTTAAATAAATGCAAAGACACATTCATGGAATGAAAGCTTTAATACCAGAAGGATGTCAATTCTCCCCAATTTGATCTTTAGATTCAGTGAATCTCTGATCAAAAATCTCAACAAAATGTTATGAGGAACTCAATAAGATGAGTCTAAACTTTATATGAAAGAGCAAAGAGCTAATAATAGACAAGACACTCCAGAAAAAGTAGATTACTTAGTTCCTTATGGTAATTAAGACAGTGAGATATTGGCATAGGGATGGACAATTTGACCAAAGGAGCAGAATAAAGAAACCAGAAGCCAGCCTGTGCGTATTTGGAAACTTCATTTTTGACAATGGTGGCATTGTAGTCAGTGGGGAAATGTTGAATTATCTAATGAATGACCCTGAGACAAGTTATTATTCAAATGCAGAAAGCGAGCGGCTGGGGAAGAGAACTGGATATTCTACATCACATCACACACAAAAATCCATTCCAAATGAATTAAAGACATATGTGAAAGGGCCATCTTTAAAACCTAAAGAAAAAAGTAAGGAGAAAACCACTATAATGTTGAGAGGCAGGCAAGGAAAAACACGACCCAAAAGGGAAAAAGGTTAACAGATTTAACAAAAAAAAAAATTGCATTATGGGGAACAGATAAACTGTGCTATGGAACACTGTGTAGGGGTGGGAGACATCTTTTTTCCCAAGAAGAAGAAAGCAATGAGAAACCGCAGGAAAAACAACAACTGTACAAGAAAATCAATCCAGTTAAAAATTCAATAGGAATGATTTTCGGTAATCAATGGTAGGTAAGAAAGAAGAGCCCAGTGAACTCCAATGAGACAGTAACTGCACAAAAGGATCCACAGAATTGCAGCACACTATGTGACTGTGTAATGAAGGATACTAACTGTAAATGCCATTATTTGGCTTTATTAGATTTAACCCTTGATCAATCTCAGAAGACTTAGTTATGGTTATCGAAGAGAATAGAAACATTCTCAGCTTTGACAACATAAAAATAAGGGCACAGATGGCAGACGTTAGGAGGCAAAGGAAAAGTAGACAGAAGGTGCTAATTTTCTGTTTACAAAGTGGAAGTCAAAAAGAAGTTATTAAGAAATAGAGTTTTTAAAATATTATTTAAAATTAAAAAGGTAACCAACTTAAAAATGGTGATATAATTATGAAAAACAGGGATGGGTTGGTATGTAGAGTTAGAGATGAGGCTGATTCATTACACCACAAAAGTAAGTCAATAATGTCTAAAACTGGCTGGGCGCAGTGGCTCATGCCTGTAATCGCAGCACTTTGGGAGGCTGAGGCAGGTGGATCACTTGAACCCAGAGTTCAAGACCAACCTAGGCAACATGGCAAAACACCGTCTCTACTAAAAATTAAAAAAAATTAGCTGAGCATGGTGGCCTGCACCTATAGTCCCAGCTACTTGTGAGGCTGAAGTGGGAGGATCACTTGAACCTGGGAGGTGGAGGCTGCAGTGAGCCGAGATCACACCACTGCACTCCAGACTAGGTGACAAAGCGAGACCCTGTCTCAAAAAATAATAATGATAATAATGTCTAAAACTGATAAGTCAAGAAATGGTGCTCCAAACATATTATTTAGAAATACAGAGATAACTATTAGTAGATTTAAAACCCAAAGGACAGCGAAGTGTGGGAGGGTATGTTGCATTCATTATAAGCTCTTATGGATGAATGAATTTGTAATTCACATGCATGGATTATTTTAATAAATATAAACAGGTATCTAAATAATTGAAAGAAAAAAGGAAAAAAGATCAAGATTCTCTAGAGCTCATTTAGTCAAACTACCTTCCATCAGGGAGGTGAAAGAAAATGAATGCCCACTCCAACAGAAAAACTTCTGACACCTGATAAAGATTCGTGATCCAAAACTCTACCAAATTTATTCATCAGGGAAGCATAGTATCATCATTTAATTCAGAGTGAAGAAAGCAGTTTACAGGCTGAATCTTACCCTTCACTGTTTCTCTTCCTCCCTACTTTGTTCTTTCTCTATTTCTCAACTTTATTGTTCTCCTCTAGCTTTGCTTTACTAGCATGAATATTCAACTAAATACATATAAATAAATACATACAAAATACCAGTTTTATTTGTAGAATATAGTCTTATGTTTCCTAATTTTCCCTCAATACAAAAAACAGCAAATTAAGTTGATTTTCATTTCCATGTTGTCTACATTAATTTAAGTCCCTATGGGCATTACTGCTATAGAGAAAAAGATCTCTGCCACTGATTTAAGGAATGAACCCAAAATCACAAAAGGCAGCCCAGCTAAAACCAGAACAATAATGGCTCTTCAATGGGCTCATGTTTCTGGAGGCTGCCATATTACTCAGGCTTCAGCAATCAGGAGCTAGATTTCCATGTGGACACTTAACGGTGATTTACAGAGAAGAAAGCTTGAAGTCTTAAGTTCCCACAAAAGAAAGTAAAAACCTGAGAAGTTGAATGGTCATGTTAAGTGATCCCTGGTTTTGATCCACAGGAATTTCACAAGGCCCCCATTTCAGTGTGATCCACATGCACATCCAGGGGTATACTTACACTATATGTGCAAGGTCAAGTGGTTTCTCTGGTTGCTCAGGAAAAACAGGATGCGGGGGTTCTCTCGTGGGTACACACCCCAAAGATTTACTAATTGCATGGCTCAGCTTCTTTGCAGGAGATTTCTGTGTCAAAGCAGAAAATAGTAAGGAATTAACCCTTCAAAAGAATGAAAGGAACTTCAAAAAAGAAAAAAACTTTGTGACAAGAGTGTAAAAACATCTTTTCAAATACAAATCAAGTTTCATTACATCAATATCATTGGGCCTTTCAGAAAGGAACCTCCAGTTGTTCCAAGGTCATCTGTGGTCCTTCATTTCTGCAGTTCCTCCCTCATGTTTACTATAAAGTCACACTATCAAGTAATGTCAACTTTCCTTCTGGACATCTCTATGTACTCTTGGCAAGAACTCCCTCCTTTGATGCTTCTGGATCCTTTTTGCTAAGATGTTAACATTAATTTCCTGATCAGAGTCGGAACTTTTTGATGGAGGCCAGGCACGGTGGCTCATACCTATAATCCCAGCTCTTTGGAAGGCCAAGGTAGGTGGATCACCTGAGGTTGGGAGTTTGAGACTAGCCCAACCAACATGTTGAAACCATGTCTCTACTAAAAATACAAAATTAACCAGGCATGGTGGTGCATGCCTGTAATCCGTGCTACATGGGAACTGAGGCAGAAGAATTGCTTGAACCTGGGAGGCGGAGGTTGCAGTGAGCCAAGATCACGCCATTGCACTTCAGCCTAGGCAACAAGAGCAAAACTCTGTCTCAAAAAAAAAAAAAAAAAAAAAGAACTTTTTGATGGGCTACGATACTAAAAGGCTAAGAGCACACAGCTTATGGATGTTAGCAAATTAGCTAAGTAAGTCACATCCCCAAGATGTTAGGATATTCCCAAATAAACATGAGGCAGAACATTTGATATTAGGGGTCTGGTTATGCAGTCAGATACAGATACAGAGTACATTCACAATACACAGGCAGCACCAGACCCAGGACTCTATATTACAAAAATAAGTTGGCATACCAATACATTCTTCTGGAAGGTAGAATAATATCCACCAAAGACTACCAAGTCTAAGATTTAATCATAAATAAGCACAAAAGTAAGCAACATGCCACAATTAGGTTACACAGAACATTCACTTCTAAAACTCATATTTAAAGGAGGCTCCTTTTATACAGATTATACCGTCCACCCAATTCCCCTAAAATAACACTGTTATCTGAGATTTTCTTGGCAGGATATTAACTGTAAAAAAGTTTAAATATTTCATTCTGCTGCCTCTGCAGTTTATTATCATATGTGCCACTTTAATTGGAAAATAAAACATGGCTGCAGCTGTCTGCCTCATCAATGCCACGTCCCCAATAGACTTCTATATGCTGCTTGTTGTAGTATTTTAACACAAAGTAAAAATCTGTTTGCCTGAAAGACCATATAGGCACAGTTAATGAATACTTTATAATAAAGACTAAATAATACAATTTCTTCAGAAACTTCGTATATTGGCTCCAAATCACCTTCTACTATTCCCGTCAACATACTAAATTCTGGGAAAACTTGGTCAGGCACAGTGGCACACTCCTATAATCCCAGCACTTTGGGAGGCAGAGGCGGGTGCATCTCTTGAGCCCAGGAGTTTGAGATCAGCCTAAGCAACGTGGCGAAACCCGGTCTCTACAAAAAGTATCAAAAAAATTAGCTGGTGCGGTGGCATGTGCCTATAATCCCAGTGACTCGGGAAGCTGAGGTGGGAGGATCGCTTCAGCCCGGGCCGACGAGGCTGCAGTGAGCTGAGATTGTGCCAACTACACCCCACCCTGGGCGACAGAGTGAGACCCCATCTCAAAGAAAAGAAAAGAAAAACATTCTGGGAAAAGTCTAGATGTAACCTAATTTCCTGAAAGTATATAAAACGAAACATAGAAATTCTCAACTTCTCCCCTAACTTCTTTCCATTTTCCTTTTGCCCAACAAGTCGTGATGTGACGCTGATTCTTCCCCTATTAAAACCGTTTCTGCACTGCCCCCAGAGATCATGTCACTCTTCTGCTTAACATCCATCAAAGGCTGATAGTCACTTACAGAATGAGATCTAAATAAATGCCTTCATTTTCCATACAAAAGCTTTCACACCTGACTCCTGCCTCTCTCTCTTTCTACTTCCCACTCACGTTAAGTGATAAGCTGCTCACAGTTGACTCAAAATACACTGTGTTCTTTTAGGTCTCTGTATCTTGGCATGTGCCTTTCCCAGGTCTCCCTTTCCCAATCTATCTTTCTGTACATTTTTTTCTCATCTCTCAAGCCTGCTGGTCAGCATCCTTTCCTCTGTGAAGACTTTCCTCACTGCTCCATACGACAGCAAGTGCCTTTCCAGGCTACCCATTTACCTGTACCTGTTTCCACTGTTGCACTCACCATGCTATACTGCTGCTACACTGCAATTTTTATTTTTATTTTTATTTATTTATTTATTTATTTATTTATTTTTTGGAAATGCAGCGTTTATTTTTTTTTTAATTTTTTTTTAAGTATTTATTGATCATTCTTGGGTGTTTCTCAGAGAGGGGGATGTGGCAGGGTCATAGGATAATAGTGGAGAGGTCAGCAGATAAACACGAGAACAAAGGTCTCTGGTTTTCCTAGGCAGAGGTCCCTGCGGCCTTTGGCCTTCGGCCCTGTTTGTGTCCCTGGGTACTTGAGATTAGGGAGTGGTGATGACTCTTAAGGAGCATGCTGCCTTCAAGCATCTGTTTAACAAAGCACATCTTGCACCGCCCTTAATCCATTTAACCCTGAGTGGACACAGCACATGTTTCAGAGAGCAGGGGGTTGGGGGTAAGGTTATAGATTAACGCATCCCAAGGCAGAAGAATTTTTCTTAGTACAGAACAAAATGGAGTCTCCTATGTCTATCTCTTTCTACACAGACACAGTAACAATCTGATTTCTGTTTCTTTTCCCCACATTTCCCCCTTTTCTTTTCGACAAAACCGCCATCGTCGTCATGGCCTGTTCTCAGTGGTCGCTGTCTCTTCGGAGCTGCTGGGTACACTTCCCAGATGGGGCGGCCTGGCAGAGGCGCTCCTTCACTTCCCAGACGGGGCGGCTGGGCAGAGGCACTCCTCACTTCCCAGTCGGGGCGGCCGGGCAGAGGTGCTCCTCACCTCCCAGACGGGGTGGCGGCCGGACAGAGGCACTCCTCACCTCCCAGACAGGGTGGCGGGTGGGCAGAGGCGTTCCTCACATTCCAGACGATGGGCGGCCGGGCAGAGGCGCTCCTCACCTCCCAGACAGGGTGGCCGGGCAGAGGTACTCCCCACCTCCCAGACGAAGAGCGGCCGGGCAGAGGTGCCCTCCACTTCCCAGATGGGGCGGCTGGGCAGAGGCGCTCCTCACTTCCCAGACGGGGCGGCCGGGCAGAGGCACTCCCCACCTCCCAGATGAAGAGCGGGTGGGCAGAGGCGCTCCTTACCGCCCAGACAATGAGGTGCTCCTCACCTCCCAGACGAAGAGCGGCCGGGCAGAGGCGCTCCTCACCTCCCAGACGAAGAGCGGCCGGGCAGAGGCGCTCCTCACCTCCCAGACGGGGTGGCCGTGCAGAGGTGCTCCTCACTTCCCAGACGGGGCAGCCGGGCAGAGGTGCTCCTCACTTCCCATTCGGGGCAACCGGGCAGAGGTACTCCTCACTTCCTCCCAGACGGGGCAGCCGGGCAGAGGCACTCCTCACATCCCAGACTATGGGTGGCCAGGCAGAGACGCTCCTCACTTCCTAGACGGAGTGGCAGCCAGGCAGAGGCGCTCCTCACTTCCCAGACGGGGGTGGCCAGGCAGAGGTGCTCCTCACCTCCCATTCGGGGCAGCCGGGCAGAGGCGCTCCTCACTTCCTCCCAGACGGGGAGGCCGCGCAGAGGTGCTCCTCACCTCCCAGAGGGGGCGGCCAGGCAGAGGCGCTCCTCACCTCCCATTCGGGGCAGCCAGGCAGAGGCGCTCCCCACTTCCTCCCAGACAGGGTTGCTGGGCAGAGGCGCTCTTCACTTCCCAGACGGGGCGGCCGGGCAGAGGCGCTCCTCACATCCCAGACGATGGGCGGCCACGCAGAGATGCTCCTCACTTCCTAGACGGGGTGGCAGCTGGGCAGAGGCGCTCCTCACCTCCCAGACAGGGCGGCCGGGCAGAGGGGCTCCTCACATCCCAGACAATGGGCGGCCAGGCAGAGGCGCTCCTCACTTCCTAGACGGGGTGGCTGCCGGGCAGAGGCGCTCCTCACTTCCCAGACGGGGGTGGCCAGGCAGAGGCACTCCTCACTTCCCATTCAGGGCAGCCGGGCAGAGGTGCTCCTCACTTCCTCCCAAACGGGGCGGCCGGGCAGAGGCGCTCCTCACCTCCCAGAGGGGGCGGCCAGGCAGAGGTGCTCCTCACCTCCCATTCGGGACAGCCAGGCAGAGGCGCTTCTCACTTCCTCCCAGATGGGGCAGCCGGGCAGAGGCGCTCCTCACCTCCCAGAGGGGGCGGCCAGGCAGAGGCGCTCCTCACCTCCCATTCGGGGCAGCCGGGCAGAGGTGCTCCCCACTTCCTCCCAGACGGGGCGGCTGGGCCGAGGCGCTCCTCACTTCCCAGACGGGGCGGCCGGGCAGAGGCACTCCTCACATCCCAGACGATGGGCGGCCACGCAGAGATGCTCCTCACTTCCTAGATGGGGTGGCGGCCGGGCAGAGGCACTCCTCACCTCCCAGACGGGGCGGCCGGGCAGAGGGGCTCCTCACATCCCAGACAATGGGCGGCCAGGCAGAGATGCTGCTCACTTCCTACACGGGGTGGCGGGCGGGCAGAGGCTGTAATCTTAGCACCTTGGGAGGCCAAGGCAGGCAGCTGGGAGGTGGAGGTTGTAGCGAGCCGAGATCACGCCACTGCACTCCAGCCTGGGCAACATTGAGCAATGAGTGAGTGAAACTCCGTCTGCAATCCCAGCACCTCGGGAGGCCGAGGCGGGCAGATCACCCGAGGCCAGGAGCTGGAGACCAGCCCGGTCAACACGGCGAAACCCCGTCTCCACCAAAAACACAAAAACCCCTAAGGAGTGGCGGCGTGTGCCTGGAATCCCAGGCACTCAGCAGGCCGAGGCAAGAGAATCACCGGAGCCCGAGGCAGGGAGGTTGCAGCGAGCCGAGATCATGGCAGTACAGTCCAGGCTCCGCAAGAGAGGGAGACGGTAGAAAGAGGGAGACAGAGAGCGAGAGCGAGAGGGGAGATGGGAGACGGGAGAGGGGAGAGGGAGAGCTTTTATTTATTTATCTGTCACCAGGCTGGAGTGCAGTGGGGTGATCTCGGCTCACTGCAACCAGCGCCTCCCGGGTTCAAGCAATTCTCCTGCCTCAGCCTCCTGAGTTGCTGGGACTACAGGCGCGTGCCACCATGCCTGGCTAATTTTTGTATTTTTAGTAGATACGGGGTTTCACCTGGTTGGCCAGGATGGTCTCAATCTCCTGACCTCGTGAACCACCTGCCTCAGCCTCCCAAAGTGCTGGGATTACAGGCATGAGCCACCGTGCCTGGCCCCATACTGCAATTTTTAATTTGTTTGTCCATCTCTGTTATACTGCTGCTTCTGAGGGGTAGGATCTACATCTTATTCATCTTTGTATTTGAACAAATTATTTACCTAGATGAATTTTCCAGATTGCTTTTACCTACCTAGTAAAACCATATAAATCTTTTTTTTTTTGAGGATTACAAGTAGATGCAATCAGAGGACATCAAAGAGAACACCTTACTTTTACCTTTATAATGAAACACTGCATCTGTCATCCATGTATTAATTTCATGATTTTTTGCTATATCTGCCATTAATTCATGCAATGTATGTGAAATGCATTATCACACAGACTACTTTAGCTCCATCCTAAAAATAATAGCCATGAAATAGAAAGGTAAAATCAATACATCAAGATGAATTCCAAATAATTAAGGCACATCAAGGGCAGCTTGGTATGTATGGGAAGGAAAAAAGACTGAAATAAAGACATGTAATTAGAGTATTAACTAAGGCCTAGGAGAAACCAAAAAAGAGATTACCCTAAAAATTTTAAAACTATGTATCCAATTAGGTTGTCTAAACACATGAATAAGGGATTTCCTTAAAAGATCTCAGATTATGACTTGGACCTGAAGTGAATTTTGATAATGAGTTAGTTTAGGAGGCTACTATAACAAAGTCTCTAAGCAAGAGTTTGAAAAATGCTGTGTCATGACAGGGGCATTAGCTCTTCTGTCCAGTCAGCCCCTAGGACAAGGCCCCAGACTTGAGAGTGGATGACTAAAAATTTAAGGAAGCAAAGAGGGAGCGAGGACAGAAGAAGAACACTACAGGTGCGGGACCCAGAGTCTCCTTCACTTCATTTAAGCTCCTATATCAGAGATGCTCTTTAAGGTCTCTGTACTTTCTCCCAACTTGCACTCTAAAACTGATTTAATGGAGAGGTCTTAACGTAGAAAGTGAAATATTCTCTAAATACTCTTAGGCAATGATTTTAAATACCGTAATCCCCTTTACCTAATTTCAAAACATTTCCTATCCTCTCTTAAAAATACTACAGGTTATATTTTTAAAATATATCAGGCTGGGCATGGTGGCTCATGCCTATAATGCCAGCACTTTGGGAGGTCAAGGTGGGAGGATCACTTGAGGCCAGGAGTTCGTGATCAGCCTGGGCAACACAGCAAGACTCCATCTCAAAAACAACAACAACAAAAAATATATATATATCCAAACATTAGCCAGGTGTGATGACACATGCCTGTAGTCCTAGCCACTCAGGAGGCTGAGGTGAGAGGATCGCTTGAGTCCAGGAGTTTGAGGTTGCAGTGAACTACAATAGTGCCACTGTATTCCAGCCTAGGTGACAGAGTGAGACCCTGTCTCTAAATCTACATATATATACACACACCAAAGAGTATAAAATGTGTTTGTACAGTTTTCTTTTTTTTAGACAGAGTTTTGCTCTTGCTGCCCAGTCTGGAGTGCAATGGCGTGATCTCGGCTCACTGCATCCTCTGCCTCCTGGGTTCAAGTGATTTTCCTGCCTCAGCCTCCCTAGCAGCTGGGACTACAGGCATATGCCACCACACCTGGCTAATTTTTGTATTTTTAGTAGAGACGGGGTTTCACCATGTTGGTCAGGCTGGTCTCAAACTCCTGACCTCAGTTGAACCACCCACCTCAGCCTCCCAAAGTGCTGGGATTACAGGCATGAGCCACCACACCCAACTGTACAGTACAGTTTTAAAAGTTATAAAACAAATACCTACCTACCCACTATTCTGCCTGTGAAATAGAACATTAGTCACTCTGAAGACTCCTTACAGACCCTCATCCTAACACTATACCCCACTCCCACTCTGCCTCCTCCTCTCCTGATAATCACTATCCTGGATTTTGTATTAATCATTTCTTTGACTTTATTATTTTAGCAATTATGCATAATACATTGTTTAGATATGTATAAAACCTGTATAGTTCTCTATATAGTCTTCTGCGACTTGCTTCTTTCACTCAGTTATGTTACAATTTATCCATTCTGATGGATGTAATTGCAATTCATTCATTTTTTTCACTGCTTGATGGTATTTCATTGGTTAATTACACTGTAATTTATATATCCATTCCACTGCTGACAAACATTTGGGGTGTTTCCATGTTTTCCATTCATTCACAATGCTGTTGTAACTTTCCTGTCCGTGTCTCTTAGTGGCCATGTATAAGAATTTTGTAAGAGTGGAATTACTGGCTCATAGTGTTACGCGCATTCAATTTTACTAAGCACTGCCAATTTGTTTTTACAAAGTGGTAACATTAATTTCCACTCTCATCAGCTGTGTGAGAGTTCCTTAAACTTCACATTCTGGCCAACTGTTATTGCCAGACATGTTAACATTTGCCAAGCTGGTGGGTGATGAATGGTACTGTGGTTTTAATTTGCAATTCCCTGGTTATTAAAAAGATTGAGCCTCTTTTCCTATGTTTATGGGCCATTTGTGTTTCTTCTTCTGTGAAATGCCTGTTCCTGTCTTTGTCATAGGGTTGCACTGGATTGCCTTTTTTTTTTTTTTTTTTAACTCATTTGTAAGAGTTCTTTATACTTTTTGTATTTTAACCCTAGGAAAGTTGTATCTTACAAACAACTCCTATTATGAGGCTTGTTTCTCACTCTGCTATGTTTTTGATGAACATCTTTAAATATCAGTGGTCCCAATGTAGTAATTTTTTCCTTTATATTCTGTTCTTTTTGTACCTTAAGAAATATTTCCCTTCCTGAGGCCATAAGGTATACTTCCAAATTACCGTCTAAAACGTTTTATACTCTTCACTTTTCATATTTAAATCTGAATCTACTTAGAAATAATGTCTTGATAGGCATCAGGAAATAATCCAATTTTGTCCTACATTTACTACTTACATTTATCATTTAATAGTCCATTATTTAATAAATGGACTATTATTACATATATTCCTGCTGGATATATATTCTATTTTTGCTCCTATAACAACACCAGTGATTTTATGACTACAGCTTCCT